>NC_000012.12:33039760-33192455 GCF_000001405.40 Homo sapiens
TAGGAACATTCTTTTCTTTGCTTTTATTTCTATGGGGTAAATACATAATAATGAAAATGCTGTGCCATAGTGTAGATGTATGTTTAGCTTTTAAGACGTTGCTTGTATCATTTTAAACTTCTGCAATGGTATGGTATAAGAAGTATGGTTGCTCTATTGGGATGGTCAACCTGCTTGGTTTTATCTTTTTTGGTATATGGGTATAGTAACACCTCATTGTGGTTTTAATATGCTTTGAATTGATGACTAACGATGTTGAGCAACTTTTTATTTCCCTTCTTCCCCCAAACTACTTTTAAGACTTCCTCATTATTACTGGTTTTTACAAATTTGTTTAGGTTGTACCTTGACACAGTTTTCTTTGTGCTCATCTTACTTGGGGTACTTTGTGTTTCTTTGTTCTGTGGACTGAAAATTTTTTGACAAGTCTGGAAAATTTTCAGTCAATTTTTCTTTACCTATTTTATTGCTCTTCTTTCAGTGGAGCTTCACTTATACATATTTTAGACCATTTGATAGTGCCCCATAAATCTTGAGACTCTTTCCTTTTTCCTTTTTGGCCTTATTTTCTCTCTTTAGTTTGTATATTTTCAATTGCTTTGTCTTTAAGTTCACTAATCTTTTCTTCTGCAGTACTTGCAGAAGAATATATATATATATAATTTTATTTATTATTATTTTTTATTTTAGACTGAGTCTCACTCTATAACTCAGGCTGGAGTGCAGTGGCATGATCTTGGCTCACTGCAACCTCTGCCTCCCAGGTTCAAGCAATTCTCATGCCTCAGCCTCCTCAGTAGCTGGGATTACAGGTGCCCACCACCACACCTGGCTAATTTTTGTATTTTTAGTAGAAACAGTTTCCTCTTGTTGGCCAGGCTGGTCTCAAACTCCTGACCTCAAGTGATCTGCCTGCTTTGGCCTCCCAACAGGCTGGGATTACAGGCATGAGCCACCGTGCCTGGTGCCTGGCCAAAAATTTTAATATATTCTAATATCTGTTTAAACATGTTTTGTCTATCACCTTTATTATTTGTGTATTTCTTATTTATATTAATTGATTTTTCTCCTGGTTTTGGCTTACCTTTTTATGTTTCACTTATCTGGTTCTCGAGTGTTTAGATTTTGTATCTATTCTTTAAAAGGTCTTTGTTATGGCAATAGTTACATTTTGAAGAACAGCTTGATTCCTTTGGGCTTCCCCCACCCCACTGAGTTTTGTTAGTAAACATCTAGAGTTACTTTTACTCTAGGGTTAGGTTAACCCTGCTTCTAAGTTGTGGTCTTTCTAAAGTCTCTACTGAATGCCTCAGTGTTCAATGAGGTTTCTTCTTCTGGCTGGATGGAATTTAATATCTCCCAGTCCTGGGTAAGCTTTGGTAGTTCCCTAATATTTGTTTTTTCCCTAGTAGCTGTTCTTAGCCACATATATCTTATTATTAACTAATGTGAAGCTTATTAGTCAGCTAGAGATTTCTAGAATTCTCTCTTTCATGGCTTTTCCCTTTCAGGTATTCTGCTCTTCAAATTCTACCTACCTTGCATCTCAGAAGTCTGCACTTTGTCTCTTCAACCTAGTGACACCTCCATAGTCCATGTTCCCTCTTTCTGTGCAGCAGTCTTGAAAGCGACTTCAGGCAAAAAGTTCAGTAATTGTATAGCTTACTTCATTTGTTTCCTCTTAGAATTCGAACCTATGCTGCCTGTTGTTCAATATATGAAAGCAGTTTTTTCATATATTCAGTCCAGTATTATTATTTTATATAACAAGAGGGTTAATTAGTGCCAGTTTCTCTGGTATCTGGGTTGGAACCCATGATGAATTTTTGAAAGCATATGTCAAACTGTTACTAGGAACTTTTGTTTTTGTTGTTTTTGGAAACCTAGATTAACTTAGAGTCTAAATAATTTTTTCATAAGTCTTCACTAAAGGTATTAAAATGAAAATTGCCATTAAGTTAATTACTGCACAATTTATTAGGGTGGTGCAAAAGTAATTGCGGTTTTTGCTATTACTTTTCATGGCAAAAACCGCAATTACTTTTGCCCCAACCTAATACAAATGATGCAAGATAATCTTTCTTTATATTCATTATCTTGATGACATCTAGATTCCCCATTTAATTGGAGATATAAAAAAATTGGCAGGGTTCAGAGACACGCCACTCAAATGCTTAAGAGATTATATTAAATGACTTCCTTGACATATATATGAAGAAAGATAAATGAAACTGAGCTTACTTAGCTCTCAGAAGAAAGAATTTAGGAACAGCATAGTTACCAGAATCATAAATATCATGATATAGAGGCTATGACCACTTATTCTTGAACTCCACTAAGCCGATAAATATATTTAAAGCATAAAGGGAAGATTTGCATAATGTACAAAGCTAAATGTCCTCCAAAAGTTTGCTAATTGGCTGTAATTTGGGGGGATGTTGTGAAATATTTCCCTGCCTGAGAGATGAACAAACAGCATGGCTTTCTCACTGCAAGGTAACTGAGACATTGAGATTAGCGGTAAGTTAAATAAACGACCCAGGTTCCTTTCAGGCCTCTCATTCTAACAGTATTAAGGAGACTTTTCTTCTGCTTCCTGACAACTCCTGTCTAGATTTTATGAAAATTGCTTGTCTTTTTTTTCCTTTTATTAGATGCTTTTTTGATATTCCTTTTCGGTTGCCTGGTGTCTTTCAAAACAGTAAAACCAGAGTTTTTGGCCTTCCTGATTTATTTTTTTCTAAATGGGAAAGTTCTTACAAAAATATACACCAGCATCTATATTTGCATGCAAAATCAAATATTTCTGGGGTTCATTGCAGTAGAGTCCAGGACAAACTGTCTCCATAATTTCTCAGGAAAAATTTTTGCTTGAAAGAAAAATGATAAATTGATATGAATTATTTTTCAAATATAAAAACAATTTTCCAACATCTGCCAAATAGATTCCTTTAACTTTTTAATTTTCAGACATCTGTTTATGAAAAACAAACATATTAAGAATGTGACTTTCTTTCAGTACTCCTTTTGAACATTATTTATCTCTTTAAATTTTCTTAAGATATTTGAAAATTATATTGGCACAAAATATATTTTTTCCTCCCATAGGAATAGAGCTCAGTAGTTGTTTTTCAGCCAGAGGGCATGGTAATGTTTTTGACAATTATTCTAAGGAAAGGATCAAGTTCAAATCCTTAGAGGATGTGTTAAAGCAGTATTGGATTTACAGGGAAGAGGCTTTTATTCAGGACAAAGAATACAATCTTTGATTTATGACTATCTTTTTCTGTTTAGTATTTGTTCCATATTGTTACATCTTCTATAAACATGCCTATTGGGTACTCTTTTACATAATATAAATGATCGTGAAACTCCATGTCCCCTCAAATATCTCCTTAATTAATTACTATAACAATATAATCTTCCTATTTAACTCAATCATTAAAATTTGGAGGAAGGTGAGGAAAACAGGTAGAATGGCTTTTAGAATGCATCCATACACTTTGGAAGAGGAGGTATTTGGCAGGGATCAGGAGGCAGAGGTAAATGCCTTCATTAGTCGTCTCCTGCAGATTACTTTACTGGATTAGCTAATTGTTACTTAGCAAGTTATCTGTAGAAATTGAGCTTGAATGGTAATATATATTTTTGAGGCAGGTTTATTTTGGGAAAATTTGTAACATAAAAAAGTACCTGTGATAGTGCTTCTTATGTGCCTGCAGATGTTAGTGGGAAGTGTGATTGAATCTGGGCAGGACTAGCAGGAGGAGGCGAGAGGACCCTAAAATGGCATTTGATTGTCAGGGCTGATTTGACAAATCTAACATCTGGTTGACAGTAGTAACACCTTCCAGTTTTACCACTTTGTGCCCGTCTCTTCTGATTTTATGAATTCAGTTGTAAAAGAGAACATTCTCAAACAGAAGGCAGAATGTTAATTATTATTACTATTTCAAGAGTATAGAGTATACCTAGATAAGTCTTTTCTGCTAGTGCTGCTAAAATAATGGCCCTTGGCACATGGTAGGCATGCAGGAGATATGTATGGAAGTCTATGACAGCAATTGATGTGTTGGTGCAGATGAATCTCTAAGGACTAGAGTATTGAAAACAAACTCAATTGATGTTGATAAAAGTAGTTTTTCCATATTATTCTTAGTTGACAATTATAAGGATCAGGATCAGGACCTAGATGAGGCATATTTTGGATAACTACTCTAATGGAAGCACGAATAAGACGTCCTGTTTGAATGTCTGTTATAGAACTTATGACATACTGTCATGTATTAGAGTTATTTAAAAGCTAGACTATGAGTGGCCGGAAGGCAGAAATGCTGTTTTATCAATCATTGCATTTGCAAAGTTCTTGCTCTAGTGCTTTATTAGAGGGAGTTCAATCAATGCTTTCTAAATTCAATTGAATACAACAGCAGGCCCCAACCTTTTTGGCACTAGGGACTGGTTTAGAGGAAGATGATTTTTCCACGGATGGGGGATGGGGGTTGGGGGGATGCTTTTGGGGTGAAACTGTTCCACCTCAGATCATCAGGCATTAGAGTCTCATAAGGAGCATGCAGCCTAGATCCCTCATATGTGCAGTTCACAATAGGGTTCACACTCCTATGAGAATCTAATGCCTCTGCTGATCTGACAGGAGGCGGAGCTCAGGTGGTGATGCTGGCTTGACTGCTGCTTACCTCCTGCTGTGTGGCCCGGTTCTTAACAGGCCACCGACCAGTACTGGTCCATGGCCTGGGGGTTGGGGACCCCTGGAATACATTATGCTGTCTCCTGACCTCTAGCTTCAAATAATTTGTTAAGTGAAATAATGGCATTTGATACATCCTATTGCAATATACTCCAATTCTAACAACAAAAGGATTACTCATGGGATGAGTGGATTAGTGACTGAATGGATAGCATAGCGATTCATTCATTTTTTAACCTCAAAGGTACAATAAATTAGTCTCAGAAGAACTTCTTTTAAAAAGGCAAAATGAAACAAAACAAACAAAAAGCTCTGTTTTATTCCCTAGTGAACATAAAAATGCATGTAATTCTCTGGTACATGAAGAAAAAAGGTTCCTCCTTTTAATATAAAGTAAGGCAATAAATGAACTTTATATATTGTATTCTGAAACTTTAAAAAAGATTAAAAAATTTAAAGTCTCCCTCCTCTATCTCATTAGCCTTTCAAAAGGGGGATAAAGAATCTTGCTAGTCGTCTCAAAACCAAAACATATTCTGACTTTATAATAGATTTTTAGAGACCTATGAAAAGGAAAAGCATAATACAAAAAATGGGATTTTATTTACATCTTGAGTGAAACATCCTGATATATAAGTGATATATTTCATGAACAATGAATAGTATATCCCCAAAAATCATGTTTCAAGTCTTTGAGCAATTATCCAATGTATAGAGATGAAAATTAGACCTATATTATAGGTCTATGTTAAAATGTAAACTTGACAAAATAGTATTTGTTTCCTTTTTTATATTAAATAGCTGAAAATCTATAACCTATGAAATTTGTTCACTTACAATATAGCAGAATGGAGTGTTGATTTACCTGTTTCTTTCAACCTAATTTTTATCTGTACATTCTTAAGTACTTTGGTAATAACTATTTTGTATTTTTAGGTTCTCCTCAATGAAGAGAGAGCTCATATTATTTTGTTTTCTCATCCCCTGAACAATATTAGATCCACATTTAAATTCCACAGAGGTCTTTACTTATTGGGTCTGTGGTCCTGGACAAATTATTTGACTTTTTTCAGCTTCAGTTTCATCATCTGTAACATGAACATATTTACTTTGTAGTGTAACTATATGGATCAAATAATATAATATTGAAAATTCTTAGAGCATAGAAACGTAATGATTCTTAAATGTTAGAGTTCTTCAAATTCTATATGTTATCTACTTAAACATTTTTATTATTTTTCTACATAATTTGGCTCAACCAGTTGAAAAACAGAGGCAAATGAGCAGGGTCTACTTTTCTCTTTGAGAAGCACATCGTTATATTTGAAAGGAATGATTTGGACAGCCTTTCAATGAAATTCTTAGGTAGAGCATATTCCCTCAAGAGGCACAAAACTCAATTGAGAAACCATCAGATAAGAACACTGAAAATGGAAGTCAGCCTGCAAATTTGCTTCCTGCTACTCTCACTTCTTACTGTTCACCACCTTCCCTTTTCCCACAGCTCCTTTCCCACCCTTGAATTAAGAAAAAGGCATATTTCTTCAACATAGAATTTTTCACAAAAATAGGCAGAAAGGGATTGAAGTTCATTGTAAATAGGGAGGAAGGTAGAAATTATTTTTCAGAGGTTGGTGGGTAAGTTAAACACCAAACCAACTCTTCAGTATTAGGCTGATATTAGAAAAGAGATGGCATGAATAAAGAAATCCTCAAATATTTCATTTTGTCTTACTTAAGCATTTGCATTACAGTCTTTACCAGTAATTTTCCCTAGATTTGTGGGAAAAAAATCTATCTCTTCTTGAACATCTTAATGGAATGACTGGCTTCATGAGTGGTGGCGATTGAAAGGAATGAATCTGACTATCACCTTACCCTCTTCTGATGTCCGAGTCATATGCTCACCTCTTATCCAACAAAGAAATAATAATAATGATAGCAAATACACATACAGCACTTACTATGTACAAGGCACTGTTCAAAGTGCTTTCCTTATATTGTTATTTCATGTTTAAAACAGTCTTAGGCAGTAAGTACTATTACTGTAACTTCCATTTCACAGATTAATAAACCATGTCATAACAAGGTTAAGTTACTTGCCACGATCACAGTGTAAGTAGCAAAGCCTGGATTTAAATGGAGGCTCCAGAATCTTGCCTGTCAATCATTAAATTATTCTGCCTCAAAATGGTTGACACTTGGGAGAAAAGAAGAAAAGAACCTGCAATATATGTTGACTATGGGAGGCGCAGTGGCCTTTTTTGGACTTTGGGTGATGTGCTACCTAAGGAGACTAAATGGCAATTCAAACATTGGAAGAGTGAAAGTTATTTTCTCTGTTAGGGTAGAAGAGTACTAGACTAGATACAGGTATCTGGAACCATGTGACCTTAAATAAATTACTTAATGTTCATTCCATTTCTTTATTTTTCTGAGTTAAATGCCCATTGGGGACATTTGGGAATATCAAATTCCCAAATGAAAGTGAAAGTGCTTTGGAAAGTAGAATCTTTGTGCGAAGTGAGAAATTGATCTAATATTTAAAAAAGTCTAACTAATGATATTTTTGCTCTTGTCTTTCAAGTCTAGTGTATTGGTTTCCTTGTTCCTAAAAGGCAGAAATTAAAGATGCCTAACCCATAGGATCAGTAAAAATATAGAGAAATTTCTAGGCACTTTATCCCTTCACCTTTCCATAATTCAACCTTACTTAATTTCACTATTAATGTTATTATAATGTATATCAGATGTACACATTGAAAAAATTGCCTTAGTGTCTGTCTCCAGTTCTTCATCCTCAAAGTGTACTTTAACAAATTAATTTCTGGATTTCCTTTCCAGTAGACACTTTTGCTGTTCTCACCAAGGTCACCAATGTTCTAATTGTCTGATTCTACACATGTATTTCAGAAACCATTCAGAGTTAAAATTCTCCCTCACTGCTGTAATGCCTGGTATATATCTCTAATATGTGTTTTCCTCTTTATTTGGCCATTGTTGATTTATATGCCTCATTATTCTCACAAAATTCTGAGCTGCTTGAATGCAAGAGTTATTAGTTTATCCCCCTTTGTAATCCTTGCTCAATTCTGGAAACACAGTAGATTTTTGCTAAATATGGATAAACGAGTAGTGAGTGGTAGAAGGTCAATCATATATCTGCTTCTTATTCATAATCCATTTGCCTGGTATCACTGAATGGCCCCAGGAAGGCAGAGGAGGCCTGCTGTAAGCAGGCTAATTTTAGGATGAAGCTGGGGTATACAGAACTAAAGCCAAGGAGAATCAGAGACAGTTCGGTACATAATCAGTTTGAATCAATTGAATCTTGTGTCAAGTAAAAATTATGCTCAACCAAGAAACCACGAATGCTCACCCCATGTCTCTCACTCTCTCTCTTTGTATTGATTTATGAATGTAGCTGACAGAGAGCTGTTGCTAGGGGACAGATATCGTTTCCAAAGAAGCCATGCAATTCTCAAGAACTGACAACGAAAAAATATTACACAGAGCCCTGTTCCATTGTAAAAAACACAGCATATCATTACAAAGAAGAATATTTAGTTCATTTATGTCTTAATCCCATTGAAGGGGTGAGTGGACCCTGAAACCAGCTTGAATTAGGGCTCAGGACAGTATGAGCAGCATGCTAGAAATTTCTGTGATTGTCCCTAAACTATTCATTAATTCAGGTAAATAGTTATTGGGGTCCATTCTGAGCAGGAAAGGGATGCACAGTGATTAAGATCCCCCTACCCAAAGGAGTTTACAGCCCAGTGGTAGAAAGTGACTCACCATTTTTGTAGGTTAATATTAACCAAATAATAGAAATTTCATTATTTGATTCAATCTAATGCTACTAATACAATGTGGATTGCATAGTGATGGAAATGCTGAAGATATTGAGCAGAAAATAGATTGGAAGATGGGGCGGTGGCTAAGGAAAGCATACTAGAGATGTCTACGCTGAGACTTAAACAATGTGCATGAAAAAGAGAAGAAAAGAAGTGGAGAAGGGGGAGCCCAGCATTCCAGGCTGAGTAAGATGAATGAACATAGACAGTGAAATGAGAGACAACAGGTTGGGTGCAGTGGTTCACACCTGTAATCCCAGCACTTTGGGAAGCCAAGGCTGGCAGATCACTTGAGGCCAGGAGCTTGAGACCAGCCTGGCCAACATGGCGAAACCCTGTTTCTACTAAAAATACAAAAATTACCCGGGCGTGGTAGTGCACACCTGTAATCCCAGCTACTCAGGAGGCTGAGGCTGGAGAATTGCTTGAACCTGGTGAGAAACAACAAAATATGTGTAGGACACAGCACATCATTTAATGTTGTAGTATAAAGTGTGAGGCAGGGTGATATAGTTTGGATGTGTGTCCCCACCCAAATCTCATATGAAATGTTATCCTCAATCTGGTGGGAAGTGATTGGATCATGGGGGCAGATTTCTCATGAATGGTTTAGCACCATCCCTCTTGGTATGGTCTTCGCAATAGTGAGTGAGTTCTTGTGAGATCAGGTCCTTAAAAGTGTGTAGCACCTCCCCTTTCTCTTTCTTTTCCTCCTGCTTTCGCCATGTGAAGTGCCTGCTCCTGCTTTGCCTTCTGCCATGAGTAAAAGCTCCCTGAGGCCTCCCCAGAAGCAGATGCTGCTATGCCTCCTAAAGAACGGTGAGCCAATTAACTCTCTTTCCTTATAAATTACCTAGTCTCAGGTATTTCTCTATAGCAATGAGAGAATGGACAAATACACAAGGAGTAAGAAAAGAGGAACCTGAGCAGGAGTCAGACCATGGATGGGCTTGTATTCCATGTTTGTGTTGTCGCCACTACTAGACCCCAAAATGACATTTTTCTGATCCTCTTGGGCTGGGACCCACATTTCCCTTTGTTTCTCTTTAATATCTCAAATGCATTCCCTTGTCTTTAAAACAATGGCTAGATACAAATGCACTGAAATAAGAGCACAGGAGGCCTACATTTCAGTGCTAGGCTGTGAATTAATTGTCTTAAATATAATGCCTAATCTCAGTTTTTCCACTTGTGAAAATATGCTTTTAATGCTATTTTAAGGATAATTGTTCCATGTGAATAAGACAAATAATACTTTCACAAATTTCTTATAAATGGAAACAAGAAATCCAAATTAGGAATTGCTTTTGCATATAGTGTCCAAGTGTACATTAGTATATGTATTTTTAACCTCAATTGTTTCTATAATTTCATATATTCAAGGGTTCTTCCCGAAAAAAATAAGATGAAAGTATTGAGCATTTTTATTAATAAATTAAACATTACATAAATGCATATTATATATGCACTTATGTTTGGAAACATATGTGTGTGTGTGTATACATATATGGTAATGGAAATAGAGTAAACATATAGGAATTTCATCAAATATTTGAGAATAAAAAAATTAAGTCTAAAAAACTTGGAAGTAGACCCATTAAATCTAATACAAATTAAGAAAAATAAAGAATCATTATCATTCTTCAATAATACTCTGTGTTTTGAATCTTGTCATTGAGTAATATTTATCCTTATACATAGCACCTTCAGCACCTAGCATGGTGCTTCATTTACACTAGGAGCTGAAAAAATGCTTGTATGAATGGATGAGAAATATTCCATCCTTCTCTCATTTCTCTTTTTGGTAGTATTAGTTTTTATTCTAAAGCATGTCTTCACTTTTCTCATTGGATGTTTTGCATTACATTTTACCCTCATCTTTATATGATTGTGTGTTTCATTAAGTGAATGAACTAATGTGGAAGTACCTCAAGAGATAGTTCTTCTCATGAATTTACTTCTAAGGTGACTGTAGTTGTAACCGGAGAAGATTTGTTTTAAAACTTTGAAACAGAAAGGATGATCCTTGCAGATAGATCATGTGAAATCAATCTAACAGCCTATGATTTTTCCAGTTTGAAGGCTTTCCTGTCTATACCAGAGTTCATCTCACAATTATGGTAGCCAGTGCTGACTACTACATTGCAGTTGTTTACTTATTTTGGAAGATGACACTCTTGATATATAGTCAGTGTCATACCTGCTATTGAGGTTCTCAGAACAAGTTGCATCTCCCAGAAAAGATGTTTCGTATAAAAAATACTCAGAATACATTATAAAAACCAAGACTTTTTTACATGTAACTAAACATGCAATTTTTATCTTTCATGTAATTAGACAGGATTTACTCTTTTTGTAAATGCTGTTAACACTGAAGCTGCAGGGTTCTGTTTTGTTCACTGCTGTATCTCTCCAGGCCTAGAGAATTTCCTAGGATATAGTGAGCACTCAATAAATATGTGTGACAAGCACAGATCATAGAGAAACCTGAGGACAGGAACCCAGAGGAAGAGCTAGCATTGTACAAATGGAGAGAAACTGTTACTTGATGATAACTACAGAAAGGTAGGCATTCTGCAATTTTGTTAACATCTAAGGAAAGATACTCCCATCCTTGACTGACTTAAATTCCTTGAAGTTGAAGGCCATTAGAGATGTAGGAACACAGTCTGAAATCTTCCTCCAAAAGGCTTAAACTTGATACTTGTAGTTGGAAATATCATAAATTGTCTGCAATCACTATTAAAAGTCCTCATACAATCAAGTGCCTATTTTAAACTGGCATGGGATCAGAAGGAGAAGAAACAGAAAAGATTAGCCAATAATTCAGAATCTGTGAAGAAAGGAGAGAATTCAGGTAAGATCAGTCAGACATGAAGGGTTTCCTTACATCTGAGGAATGATTTCCGATTCCTCAGTAACGAAGATTTGAAAACAAATAGCAGGATCCTACTGTGTGCAACTAAGGTTCGTTGTATGTATATTTATGCAGAAATCCTCAGTTTACTAAACTGTATACAGTTTTCATCTCATTTTGTAGTTTCCATTATTGTTAATTAACACTCTCATAGTCTTTATAGAAATTCACAGAAAGATGAAAAAATTGAATTTAGGCATTATTTTAGAAAGATAATCTCTAAATAATTGTCTTAATCTTGTGCCCAAAATAGACAGATGGAATATATGGCATTTCCTCCAGGGTGGTGCCGTAACAATGCTTATTTCTGTTTAACATCCTTTTGTTGGTTTCTATATCAGAATTTGCCAGATGGCAGACTGGGTATAGAGGTTTAGATGATGAGAATGTGACAACCAGAAGTTATCATTTGTATTAGCCACTATGCTGAACGCTTTACATGTATTACATAAATTACCTCATTTAATTCTCTTAAAAATCTTGCACCCTGCTCTGCCTTGCAACTCCGCAGAAAGTCCTTACAATCGAGAAAGCCCCCACCAGGTGCAGCCCCTCAACCTTGAACTTCTCAGCCTCCATAACTGTAAGAGAAAAAATTTTTTTCTTTATAGATTAAAAAGAAACTTGCAATACTAGTAATAATAATAGCAAGCCATCACAGTGTGTACTGCCTGTCAAGCACTGGTCTACCTATTTTATGTACGTTAACTTATTCACTTCTTGGAGTAAACATAAGAAGGGTTATTATTTCTCCCATTTTATAGATGAAAAACTGAAGCACAGAGATGTTAGCTATCCGTTGAGGATACACAGATGATAAATGGCAGAGCTAGAATTTGAAGCCAGGTCATCTGGTTCCATAGTCCAAACTCTTAACTGTGAATATGCATCTCATATTCTTTAAGGTGACCCTGTCTTAAGAATTACCTTGTTTTAGGGTACCCACAGTCCCCTGCACCGCTCACGCCAGAGGTCGCCGGTCTGCATGGGCCCCGGCCCTGTGACCACCATGCTGGGGGCAGGGACTGTGTGCAGACGGATCCCCCACCCCCAACACGCATTTTATGAGGGAGACCCCGACAGAGGACACTTGAACCAGAATCTCAGGACCCTGCCCAGGGAGCTGCCAGCCCAGGGAGTAGATTCCCATGGGCCCCCCGCCCCCCTCCGTCCCCTCCCTGAGCACCCACAGTCCACCTGGCCAGGCCTCCTGGCCGCCACGCAGAATACCTCGAATCTGGCGGGCTGTGATCGAGCCCCCCTGACCTGTCAGCCTCGAGCCCAACACCCGACTCGGGGCCGAGGCTAGGCTGCCCCTCCCTGTGGGCTCAGGGTCTCCTGCCGGGGAGGCAGCCAAGAGCTCTGTCCACAAAACCAAATCTGGGTGTCAGAGGCCAAGACCCCGGGGTGGGATCAGGGACCATCCCCTCACGGGGCATAAGGTCATTTTTCCCCCAGAGCCTGGATCCCTGTCCCCCACGGGGCAAGCTGGGTCCCTGGAGCCCTGGAGTGGAGCGGCGAGTCCCGGGGCGGTGCCTGTCTCAGAAGGAGCGGCCCTTGGCCAGCCACCCTCCAGCGACACTTTGCAACTCCTGGAGCACCCGCCAGGATCAAAGCCATCACCAGGTGCAGGTGGGCGCCAGGCCCTCTGTGGGTGGGCACTGGTCCTCAGCACCGCTCACCGCCGCCGCCGGGCAGGCCGGGGACCAGCAGGCTCCTCAGCCAACCCTGTCCCTTGGCCCGGCCTTGCCACAGAGAGGGACCCCAGCCCATCGTGGGCGTCGTCAGGGCTCAGCCTCTCCCACCTCCCCCAAGAAGCCCAGGGAATATGGATGCCTGGACGTCTGAGCCCAGCTTCCTGCGTCCCCACCCGGCCCTCCTGGCCCCTTGCCCTCAGGCAGCGGGCCAGCCCCGCCCTCACTCCCCCGGTACCCTCCCAGGGGCTTCCGGGGCTTTTCACCTGGAGAAACACCCCCCACTCCCCTTTGGCCTCCCTGTACTCTAAGCTGTGAATATTTTTAACCCTGTAAATATGGCCAGCTGTTGTGACACACAGACTATTTTATCAACTGTCAGCCCCGTTCCTTTACGATAGGATTCTCCACAGTGGTTTCCGACTCAGGATCCAATGGACCAAATAAAAGCGTTTTGTTTTGTGGAAAAAAAAAAATTACCTTGTTTTGTTGTTTCCGAAATCTTCCCCAGTTGATATTTTCAAATATCAAGATGAGCTAATGTATTTAGATTTTAGATGTATCAGATAATCTATTTTCTGACAAGTTTGCCTCAGAGAGTTGGTCAAATGCATGTAGAATTTTTAGCTGAAATATAAAGTTAGGCTCTTAAGCATAACTTAAAGGCCCATAAGCATAAATTAACTTTTAAGACATGTGAGCATAACTTAACTCTGTTTGTTGAAATTGAGTACAAGTTCCATTTCGAGCTAATGCTTCAAACTCTTTATTTCTAAAGTACAAGATAATGAATTGATTATGAGTGGATTAATCTGCTAAATCTGTATTTCTTAGCATGAATACATCCACTTTCAAAACCGTACAATTTAAGTTTGCCAACTTTCCTTACTGTGTCTTTCTTTGCACATTCAAAATGGAATTGATAATTACAAACCTTTAAAATAAAATTTAAATATATTAGCTATCTAAACATTTATTTCTCCTGACAAAATTGAATTTCACTCATGCACATTTGCTATCTTTTCTCCGTCAAACTCATCTTGTTTTTTTGAATGTATTGCTTAAAAGAAAATAAGTATCCATGTAATATAGTGACATACAGTGTTCCCATGAAAGGATATACATACCAGTGAAAATCCGCCGTCAGAGTTTTACTTTTGTGATCACACATGTGTATTGCTAGTCCTGAAACCTCTTTCATTGATGAATATTTTGTGTGTGTGTGTGTGTTTTGAGCTGCCTTGGCTATTTCCTTCTGTAGCTTAGTAGATATTAATACTATATACTCAAGATATAGAATGTTATTTTTGATATCAGTACATATAATCTGTCTTTATAAAAATCTCACTGCTCCTTTTTGTGTATACTGTTAAGAGTTCAACTTGAGAATATCTATTTGAGGTAGGTACAAAATAAGTAGACGATATCTTTAGGAACATAATCTTATTCGGTAGGACAAGATGTCTAGATAGAAAACAACTAGAAAAGATTTCCTGTTTCCCCTTCTGGGAATATTCTGGTAGACACTCATATGATTTACTCCTTTAATCTATTTAGATCTCTACTCAAAGGTCATATCCACAGAGAGGCCTTTCTCAACTGCCCTATCTATAATACTACCCATATCCTACTCTATCCACTTACTATGCGTCATTCCTCAATGGTCAGCTGACTATATTTGCTTGCTAGCTGTCTGCCTCTAGTATAGAATTTCAAGGTGGTGGGAACTTTGTTTGGTTTACTGTTCTGCCCTCGTCAGCTAGGGCAGTGCTTAGTTCATCAGAGGTACTCAATAAACCTTTGGTGAATGAAAACTATAATGGGTATAAAAATTTACGTTGTTTTATGTAGAAAAAGTGAGAGATTTATGTGAATTATGCATATTTTCACTTTTTCAATAGGTGTACAGTCCAATCCTGGATATTGTTTTATGCTGACCCTTTTGAAAAGTTTTGGCTCAAAAATGACACATGTACTATCCATAGCATTGCAATGAAAAGAACAAGTTAGAAGGACACAGCTAGATGCAAGCAGAATGTGGGCAGGGGAGGGTTTGTGGTGGTGGTGGAAAATGTATCCTGGCTGGGTGGCCAGCCACTTCCCAGTGACAACTTTATACTTTTTACTGTAGAACAGTGGTCCCCAACCTTTTTGGCACCAGGGAACAGTTTCATGTAAGATAATTTTTCCATGGGGGTAGTAGGGGACATGGATGGTTTCAGGAAGAAACAGTTCCACCTCAGATCATCAGGCATTAGATCCTCACAAGGATCTCGCAACCTAGATCCCTCGCATGTGCAGTTCACAATAGAATTTGCACTCCTATGATAATCTAATGGTGCACTGCTCTGACAGGAGGCAGAGCTCAGGCGGAAATGCTCCCTGGCCTGCCACTCACTGTTGCGGGAAGTCAGGGACCCCAAATGGAGGGACCGGCTGAAGCCATGGCAGAAGAACGTGGATTGTGAAGATTTTATGGACATTTATTAGTTCCCCAAATTAATACTTTTGTAATTTCTTATGCCTGTCTTTACTGCAATCTCTAAACATAAATTGTAAAGATTTCATGGACACTTATCACTTCCCCAGTCAATACCCTTGTGATTTCCTATGCCTGTCTTTAATTTAATCTCTTAATCCTGTCAGTTGAGGAGGATGTATATCGTCTCAGGACCCTGTAATAATTGTGTTAACTACACAAATTGTACAGCATGTGTGTTTGAGCAATATGAAATGTGGGCACCCTGAAAAAAGAACAGGATAACAGCAATTGTTCAGGGAATAAGAGAGATAACCTTAAACTCTGACCTCCGGTGAGCCGGGCAGAACAGAGCCATATTTCTCTTCTTTCAAAAGCAAATGGGAGAATTATCGTTGAATTCTTTTTCTCAGCATGGAACCGCCCTGAGAAAGAGAATGCGCACCTAGGGGTAGGTCTCTGAACTGGCCCCCCCAGGGCGTACCTGTCTCTTGTGGTTGAGATTGCAGAGGTGAAATAAACTCCAGTCTCCGATAGCGCTCCCAGGCTTATTAGGAAGAGAAAATTCCTGCCTAATAAATTTTGGTCAGACCGGTTGATCTCAAAACCCTGTCTCCTGATAGGATGTTATGAATGACAGTGGTGCCCAAAACTTCATTAGCAATTTTAATTTCGCTTTGGTCTTGCGGTCCTGTGATCTCGCCCTGCCTCCACTTGCCTTGTGATATTCTATTACCCTGTTAAGTACTTGATGTCTGTCACTCACACCTATTCATATACTCCCTCCCCTTTTGAAACTCCCTAATAAAAACTTGCTGGTTTTTGTGGCTTGTGGGGATATCACGGATCCTACCAACGTGTGATGTCTCCCCCGGATGCCCAGCTTTAAAATTTCTCTCTTTTGTACTCTGTCCCTTTATTTCTCAAGCCAGCCGATGCTTAGGAAAATAGAAAAGAACCTACGTGATTATCGGGGCAGGTCCCCCAATAACTCACCTCCTGCTGTGCGGCCCAGTTCCTAACTGGCCATAGGCAGCAGCCTGGGGATTGGGGACCCCTGCTGTAGGAGGAAGAGTATATATTTTGTTGTGATCATCTCTGCCACAGTTTGCCCCTTTGGTCAGCAAATTTCTGGGCAGAACATCCTCTATCACACATCAAATAAATGCAGCTTTTTCTTGGGGGGGAAATTCCTCATCCATTGCCTTCCATGACTTTCGATTTCACCCATGTAATCATATGACATGTACATTGGAAGAGAATCTTCCATGAGGTTGGTTTCTTGCTGGTGCAAATCTAGAGAACCAAAGTTTGAGGCTCAAACACTTATAGACTTACCTGCTAAAATCAATAAGTAGGCAAAAGCCAACGCATCTTCTTTTTCTTTCTATCCATTTTCTCTAGAGCCACTGCTTCAATAGGGAAGTAGTATGCCTTCTAAATTATTGTTAATGAGAACTATCAATTTCTGTCATACAACACATGGGGCACTAGCTTTTCAGTTTATGGTATGTATTTTCATGCCTTGTGGTATCTTCTAGTATTAAGCTAATCACCATTTATTTTAGATTATTGTTAAGGCAGAACACTAATGTTCTAATTTCCATATTAAGTTTTAAAATTCGTTTGAGTGATTATTTTCAATTTCCTCCCATGGCTTCTTACTCTACTGTCTTAATGTGATTAATAGTGTATAATGACCAAATTGCAAGCAAGAGAAAGAAGAATAGAAAAAAAAATAAGATGACATTCTAAATAGCTTATCAATGTTTACATAATAGTGAAATACTAGAAAAGGTATTTTCTTAATAATTATCTTTTAAAAATTTCAAATAAAAATAACTCTAATGTTTGAAATATGGAGATGGATCTCATGATTATAGTTGGAAACTCAGTGGTTTATAGATTTATAGCAAGTATTCATAAAAAATTTCTTATTAACATACTCATTAGTTAAATTTACTTTTGATGCTATTTCTGAGTCACACGAAATGTACACAGATTTTGGGTTCTAAATGCCCTTCTCCTATGCAGGAGAAATTCTTTGGTCATTCAACAGCTAATCAACAGCTAGAATATATAAAGTTAAAAATGTCTCATTTGTATTTAGAGCTGATTGTGTAAAGATGATACTTGCAGGTTGTTCTAGTCTGGGCACCATTATAGTAACTACATCTGACACGTGAGTCTACCTGATTCAGAGGAACTTTAACAAAAGTTGACATACACTTTTAGCTTGGGGCCAGTGCCGTGAGCTTGGTAGTTACACAATAAACATAGCCCTTATTATTCTCATTATATGTATATTTAGATATATACATCACCTACTCTAATGATAATAACTAATTCTTCCTCTTTAAAATATTAGGTAAACTCATAAGGCAGGACTGTCAAGGGAAATGTCCATACTGGAGATGAACAGGGTTATTATTGCTTTCATGGCTTAATTCTAGTGATCCATTTTAGTCCATCA
This sequence comes from Homo sapiens, assembly GCF_000001405.40. NCBI lineage: Eukaryota > Metazoa > Chordata > Mammalia > Primates > Hominidae > Homo > Homo sapiens. The sequence continues at coordinate 33,057,889 of NC_000012.12, forward strand.
CAAACTGACTTTTTCTTTGTACAGTAACTGTCATTGCCTAAGCACTCTGAAATTAGTTTATATTCACAATTGTTAAAAATTCTGTCATGAAGAGAGACCTCCTCAGCCATTATTCTACTTGATCCTTTTGGTATAATAAATTTGGTGCCATAAATACTTGTGCGCTGATAAAATGATGGCGAGGTCTCTGTTACAAACCTTTACAAAATAGCTTCTCTTACTGACATGGGGTTGTTTTGTTGTATCAGTTCTTCTATTTGGGTTAATTATTATTATTATAATTTTTGATCATGCCTATCTTTTTCCTGCAGTATGTTTGGGATAAAAGGATTACTATCTACTTTTAATGCAGTGGGGCTACAAATTTAAAAAATTTTTTTTTATTTTGAGATGGAGTCTCGCTCTGTCGCCCAGGCTGGAGTGCACTGGCGTGATCTCTGCTCACTGCAAGCTCTGCATCCCAGGTTCATGCCATTCTCCTGCCTCAGCCTCCCGAGTAGCTGGGACTACAGGTGTCCGCTACCACGCCTGGCTAATTTTTTGTCTTTTCAGTAGAGACGCGGTTTCACTGTGTTAGCCAGGATGGTCTCGATCTCCTGACCTTGTGATCCATCCACCTCGGCCTCCCAAAGTGCTGGGATTACAGGAGCGAGCTACCGAGCCCGACCTATTAAATTTTTTTTTTTTTTAGAGATGGAGTTTCACTCGTATTGCCCAGGCTGGAGTGCAATGGTATGATCTTGGCTCACTGCAACCTCTGCCTCCCGGGTTTCAAGCAATTCTCCTTCCTCAGCCTCCCGAGTAGCTGGGATTATATGCATGCACCACCACGCCCAGCTACTTTTGTATTTTTGGTAGAGACAGGGTTTCTCCATGTTGGTCCAGCTGGTCTCGAACTCCTGACCTCAGGTGATTCACCCTCCTCGGCCTCCCAAAGTGCTGGGATTCGGGATACAAATCTTACTCATCAACTCATATGTGAAAAAATACATACTTTAGTTTGTAAAAACACAATTTATTTTATTTCATGCCCCATTTTGACATGGGGAAAATGTAGTCTACATACATTTAGGATTCTTCTCCTTTCACCAAGTACAAATAAGGTGCAGTATGAAAGTGGTGTTTATCAGGGCCAGCCTTGGTTGCTGGTGGAGTGAGTATGGAGGAGGGGAGTTATATTTGATTTTCAATATAAGGTGCCCACAAGGATATCTCCTGAGATGCATTTCATCCCTTTTGATCTTTGCCATCAATCTGTGCCAACTGTCCTAGAGGCATCCCTTGCGTCTATCTGTCTGACTCCTTCAGGAATCTGGTTCTTTCCATTAGTGTCACTCTCAAGGGCCTGAGAATCTCTACATGGCTGTCCAAGTTCCCACTTACTCAGATGTGATTTTGCCATCTTTGCTCCCAAGGCTCTTCCCAGCAAAAGGAAGCAGGTCCTCTCTCTGAGAGCTGTGAATGTCTATAGGTATTCTCGATCTGTCTTGTTCCTCCTGGCTCAGGGGAAACTTTTCTTCATTTAAGGGACTCTCTTCTGTCCTATGATTACTCCCCACAACTTAAAAACAGAATGCTTAGAGACCCTTTCTCTATCACAAGGGGTATGGTTTTGGAAATAAAATGCCAAAAGGATTCTTGCTAGCTACCTTGCTTAACTTGCTTCACTAGGATAAAGCATACCTGGATGGCTGGAGGCAGGCAAAGTTTAAGAGAAGATAAAAAGGAAGGAAAATCAAGTAGGTAAACAACAACGACATTGTCCTACCACAATTACTTTGAGGTACTTTATTTTATGGCTATTTCCTGTCTTTTCCCTTCCACCCATTACCTAAAAGCTCTTTGCTCTGATTATTTCCTGCATTTTTCTTTCAGTCTTTCCTTACCCTGGATGCTCTGACTCCACGCATGGGTCTAGTTCTTGCCATGGAAGCAAAGACAAAACTTTGATGGTCAGCTTGCTGGCTAAGATGACTTCAGGTTTTATGTCATTTACAATCATAACATTGATTTTTTTTGTGATTAAAATATTTTTAGAATAAGATCTGGCTTTTAACTTTGTTCTTGCTGGTTGGCCTGAGGATCACTAAGTTGGATTAACAATTTTCTGATAGCCATGAAATCATCCTTACTGGAGTAATACAGTGATGACCATATTTGGCTTCTTAGATCTGTCAAATACACAGACTCTTCTACAGCTTGTCCAAAGTGGCAGTATCTCAACTAGTCTTTTAACAACAAGCGCATTCCCATGTGGATTGTTGATAGTTACTGAGAAAGAACAATTGTACTAAATATTTTTTTCTAAGTGGCAAAGTATAAAGATTTTTAAAGTCTCAATTTCTGTTAGACAAATAAAATAACCAAATGAACAGGATTTTGAAATCCATAAAATTGTTTTCCTTTAAATTCAAAACAAAACAACAACAAGAAGAAGAATGCAGAATTTTTTTCGTGAACATTGCAAATTAGTAGAAAAAGGCATGATATAATAATTGTTGGTTAAAAAAAAGTCTCTTTATAGATCAACATTGAGCAATCAGTCTTTCTGTTTATGTTGTCCAGACCAGTTGTCAGCAACATTTTCAGCACCATGAAGAAATTATTTTATATGAGGGTTAAGATATAGTTTTATATTATATTTTTTCAGTGCTTTTTAAAATAGTAGGTCTGTAAACACACGCTATGTATTATAGATGTCATAAGCTAAATGGTGAAACAGCAGAGATAATGATCACCCTTTTCTAGGGAGAAAAGGTAGGGAAAATATCAGAGAGAAGCAAGGGAGCTTTAAGTCTTTAGAAAGGCTTAATGGGATTCTATATATAGATACCAAAACCATTGGCTTGGGACTTTTGCTAAGGTAGGTATGTTGCATTTCTCTAGACTTTTCTCTTGGCACAAGGCTACTAGTAAGAAAATACGTAGGAAAACTAAGTGAAAGATTTCTGTTTCCAGTTATATGACAGATTAGACACCTGAATTGATCTTCCTGCTGACAAACTCACAAAATTATGGATAAAATAATTTCAATAGTCATAATGGATTAATGATCTTGCAAAAGAGTAAGTCATTTTTTTTGTACCCAAAAACCCAGTGAAATTAAGAACTCAGAAGGGAAAGAAGGGAAAGTGGAGCACAGAAGCTTGTTTTTATCATGAAGGCATTTGCTAAGCTCTGTACAATTGAGTTTTGCTTTACATAGCCAAATTAAGTACCTGAAATAAAATATAGAATATAGGGCTCAACCACAGTGATTAATTTCATAGAACATATTCCTCCCATATGCCTGAAATTTTACTCATTACACTCTAAGTATAAGAGTGAATTAGAAATAAACCAAACATCTATTTTCTTTATTTTGGCAAGAAAAAGTTACTGCATATATATATAACCAAAACCTGGGTGCTAGATGTAAGCAGTAACACCCTGTAGCAATGAGCACATTTAGGACCCAGGTTTTGGTTTCTAATATTGTTTTCCAGTGAAAGTAATTCAGGCTATTTGGGAAATGGCTGATTCTCTGATTCTAGAATTGGGGCAGGAAATCTGCAAGGTAAGTCTAAAGCATCTTGTAATGTCAGAAAATAAGAAAGAGCTTAAACAAAAAAATGAAACACACACATGCAAACCGCAATGATGGGATATGTCAAAGAGACACAGGAGACAGCAGAAAGAGCTCCCAGTGTCCAAAACGAGAACAATTTGAGCCACAATAGAAAGTAATAATGGATTAAAATGCAGAGTATGAAACAAATATCTATGTGTACATACTAATATTAATAAATGATTGAGTAAATAAATAAGGGAAAATAAATCTTTCACACAGTTGAATTCCAAATAACTTATGTAATAACTATACCCACAGAGGTATAGAGCATAACTCCTCATTCCTTAAGTGTGTTCTGTGCATAGCTAATTCCCTCCAATGGGTACGGTATGGAAGCAGGGAAGAATAGTAGCTTTACAATAGGAGCAACCTAAAAAAACTACCTTAGCCAGATGATCAAGGTTAACAACAACAGTGATAAGTCATATTGCTATGTACTTGTGTTATTATGTGGTGAAAGTAGTACTTTACCTGTGTGGCCTTCCTTCCAAAAAACCATTACCCCAGTCTAATAATGAGAAAAACATCAGAAAAATGCCAATTAAGGGAAATTCTACAAAATATGTGAGCAGTACTTTTCAAAATTTTCAAGATCATCAAAAAGAAAGTATATCTGTGAAACTGTCATACTCAATACCAGCCTAAGAGGAAACTAGGAGTAAACACAATCTGGTATTGTGGCTGGGATCCTGAATCAGGAAAAGGACACTAGGTAAAGATTAAGAAAATAGAAATAAACCATGAACTGTAGTTTTATGTATCAACATTGGCTCATAATAATAAATGATGTTAGTAACAGAGATAATTGAGTGTAAAATGTACAGGAACTGTCTATCCTATATTCCCAACTTTTCTATAAATAGAAATCTATAGTAAAATAAAAGATTCATTTAAAAAGTATAATAACTTAGAATTTCTCCTCAATGCTGAAAGATACTAATTCCCAGATTTAAAAATCCAACAAATCCCAAAAAGGTAAAAAAAATCCATATCTATACATATAAAAATACAGCTGAAGAACACCAAAGGTAAAGAGAAGATCTCAAAGAAGTCAAAGAGAAAAGACTTATGATATACAAAAATTATCTTGTATTATATTGTGGCAGGGAAAGCAAAAGTAAGTAAAATAATACCCCAATCTCATTCAAGAAGAAACTTGAAACAGTTTAAACAAAATATTGAATTCAACCAAGCTATATTCAAATAGGTTATTACATCATGACTAGGTAGTACTTAGAGAAATGCAAGATTAATTCAACATTAAACTATTAATTATGTTATTCATTATTTTATTTTATTTTATATCTTTTGAGACAGAGTCTTGCTCTCTTGCCCAGGCTGGAGTGCAGTGGCACAATCTTGGCTCAATGCAACTTTGGCCTCCTGGGTTCAAGTGACACTCCTGCCTCAGCCTCCTGAGTAGTTGGGATTACAGACATGCACCACCATGCCAAGTTAATTTTGTATTTTTAGTAGCAATGGGGTTTCACCATGTTGGCCAGGCTGGGGTTTCACCATGTTGGCCAGGCTGGTCTTGAACTTTTGGTCACGAACACCCGCCTTGGCATCCCAAAGTGCTAGGATTACCGGAGTAAGCCCCTGTACCCAGCCTCATTATTTTAAAAGACTGCAGTAGAAAAGTGTGCGTATGGGAAACTCGGGCTGTTGCTGCTGGGACAGGGAGTGCTCCTGCAGACAGGGCTGGGAAGCAAGCAAGGTATGGGTACAATCCTTACAATGAATATCAGGAGTTGCCAGCAGACTGTAGGATGGAACTGCTCCAGGAAGGGAGCTCATCCTGGGTCCCACATCCTTTCGGAGACTAAACAGTTACAGCAAGATGCCATTTTCAAACCTAGCCTTTGGCAACTGCATGATATCCTGGGACCCAGAAGTGCCAGGACTGGCGTGTTATGGAAACTTGGGCTGTTGCTGCCGGGACAGGGTGAGTGAGTTGGGAGCACTTCTGCAGACAGGGCCAGAAAGTGAGTGAGGCCTAGGTAGCAGGAGCCAGTGCCAGGAAACCAACCTTGTGCTGCTGGGATCTGAGATGGGGATGTGAGAGGGGTGTGAGTTGCTGTTTGGACTTGGTTGGGAGCTGGGTGTGGACTCTTGCAGCCTGGATGGGGGTGGGTGTAAGTCCTGCCTGGACTGGGATGTGAAGGGGATGCATGTTCCCCACCCACTGGCTCAGGCTGTGACCACTGAAGGTGGCTTCACTTTTTGTGGTAGTGGAGCTTCAGCATGGCTGCTACTGTCTCTCATCTAAGCACTCCACCTGGGGTGTGAGAATTGCCCTGCCCTTGCCCTTTATAACTGGCACCTACTCCTTCCATTAGGGGACCAGAGCACAAGTCCACCCAGCTGGGCTTAGCTTTCTGCACCCCCTTCCCTCCCCCTGAGACAGAGCACATAGCTCAGGGTTTCAGGGATTGCCCAACCCAGTCTGACCACCATGGATATCTGAGTGCTCCTTCTGGAAAACTAAGGTTGGGCCTAAACTTGTAGCCACTATCACCTCAGCTGACACCTACCTGCAAGTACCACCTGTGAGCCTGGAGACTGTCCTGCCAAGCCCTTCACAGCCACCACCATCATCACCACACTCTGCTTGGGACCCATAGAATTGCCCTGTCGTTGCTACTGTCATTCCCAATGCCAGTCTGGCTGCCCAGTGGACTGAGAACCTGCTCACCTGCCTGGTCCACCACTGTTACTAGTGGCATCCAAGTAAGCCACCTGGAGGCCTAAGAATCAACCTGCTGGTAACTGCCAACACAGATGGCAGTATATACCATCCTGGAGCACAAAAATAGGCACACTTAGCCCGTTGCAGCTACTGTTGGGGCCTGAAGACCAGCCCGCTTGGCATCTCAGTCCCCAGCACAACTTAACCACAGCCTCCACTAATAACTGCACCCTTAGCCATTGAGGAAATCACAGATAGCACTAACACTGTTTACAGCCAAAAAAATCTTACAGAGACTGTACTACTGCATGTGTTCAGACTCAAAACCAAAGTACCCTACCCAACCAATACCATAGATAACAACTTCAGAAAAAGTTCTTCCCTACAAAAGTAAATTCAAAAATAGTAAGAAGTGACTATTACTTCAGATGTGCAGGTATCAATATAAAAACACAGAAAACATCAAAAAGCAAGGAAAAAGGACACCTCCAAAGGAACACAATAATTCTTCAGTGATAGATACTTATCAAAAAGAAATTTTTAAAATGCCAGATAAATAATTCAAAATATTTGATTTTAGGGAAGCTCAGTGAGATACAGGAGAATTCTGAAAAACAGTGCAAAGAAATCAGAAAAACAATTCAGGATATGAATGAGAAATTTACCAAAGATATATTTTAAGAAAGAAATAAATAGAAATCTTGGAAATGAAGAATTCATTGAAGGAAATTACTTTCATTGAAAGCTTCAACAATTGACTAGATCAAGTGGAAGGAAGAATCTCAGAACTTGAAGAAAGACTTTTTGGAATAATCCAAACAGAAAAAAGAATAAAAAAGAATGAGTAAAGCCTTTGTGACATTTGGGACAACATACAGCAAACAAATTTACAAATTATTGGTATCCCTCATAATAAAGGAACAAAGAAATAGTTAGAAAATGTGTTTAATAAAATAGTAGATGAAAACTCCCCAAATCTAGTCACAGATTTAGGATATTCAAATACAAGAGTCTCAGTGATTCCCAGGCAGATAAAATGCAAAAAGGTCTTCCCCATAGCCCATTAAAATCAGACTATCTAAAGTAAAAGTTAAAGAGCAAATTCTAAAAACAGCAAGAAAAAGCCTCTAGTCACCTATAAAGGAAGTTTCATCAGACTAACAGTGGCTTCTCAGCCGAAATGTTACAGGCCAGAAGAGAATGAGATGATATGTTCAAAGTGCTGGAAGAAAAATAAAACTGCCCCCCAAGAATACTATCTTCTGCAAAAGAAAGCCATTCCTAGTCAAACAAATGCTAAGGGAATTTGTTGTCACTAGAGTAGCCCCACAAAAATGCTGAAGAGAGTTCCAAACCTGGAAGTGAAAGGATAACATTTACCATTATGAAAACACATGAAAGAAAAAGACTCAGTGGTAAAGCAATCATGCAAAGTAGGAAGAGAAAGCACTCAAATGATACCACTACAGAAATCTACCAATATACAATGAAAAACTATGAGGAAAATAAAGGAACAAGTCATTTATAAAGCAACCACAAAACAGTCAACAATATGACAGAAACAAAGCCTCATTATTTGTTGTTATTCAAATAACTATTCAATAATAACCTTGAACACAGATTAAATTATCCTCTTAAAAATATTAAATAGCTGAACAGATAAAAATAAACATGATCTAACTATAAACTGCTTACAAGAAACTCACCTTATCTGAAAAAACACATATAGACTAAAAGTAAAGGGGATGGAAAATGATATTCCACTCAAACATAACTAAAGTGATCAGGATTAGCTATGCTTATATCAGGTAAAACAGACTTTTAAGTCAAGAACAGTAAAGAAAGACAAAGAAGGTTATTATATAATGATAAAGGGATCAAGCCAGCAAGAGGACATAATTCTAAATGTATATGTACCCAATGATGGAGCACTCAGATTTGTACAGCAAATGTTACTGGATCTAAGGAGAGAGAGAGACTGCAATACAATAATAGCAGAAAACTTTAATCCCAGTTCTCACCATTAGACAGATTATCTAGACAAAAAAAAATCAACAAACATTAGATCTAAATTGGATCTTAGACTGAATAGACCTAACAGACATTTACAGATCATTCTATCCAACAACTACAGAATATATATTCTTTTCTTCAGCACATAGAACATTCTCTAGGATAGACCATATGTTAGATCACAACACGAGTCTCAACAAATTAAAAAATAATCAAATTTATGTCAAGAATCTTCTCAACCACAATGGAATAAAACTAGATATCAATACCAAGAAGAACTCTAGAGACTACACAAAGACAAAGAAATTAAACTACATGTTTCTGAATGACCACTGGGCCAATGAAGAAATTAAGAAGGAAATAAACACTTTCTTGAAATGAATGAAAATGAAAACACAACATACCAAAATCTTTGGGATACAGCAAAAGTAGTGCTAAGAGGGAAGTTCATAGCAATAAATGCCTACATCACAAAGGCAGAAGAATTACAGATGAACATTCTAGCAATGCACCTCAAAGAACTAGAAAAGTAATAACAAACCAAACACAAAATTAGCAGAGGAAAAGAAATAAAGATCAGAGCAGACATAATGAAATAGAGACTAAAAAAAATTGAAAGAATCAACGAAAAGTTGGTTCTTTGAAAAGATAAACAAAATTGATGAACTGCTAGCTAGACTAAGAAAAGGAGAAGAGTCAAATAGAAAAAGTCAGAAATAAAAAAGAAGTGATAACTGATATAATAATGATATCATCCCTGATGAACATAGACACAAGATCCCCAACAAAATTCTAGCAAACTGAATACACATCAAAAAGATAATACCACAATTAGGTGAGGTTTATACTAGGGCTGCAAGGATGGCTCCACATATGCAAATTAATAAACATGATGCAGTATATCAATAGAATGACAGACAAAAACCATTTGTTCATCTCAACAGATGCAGAAAAAGCATTTGATAAAATTCAACATCACTTCATGATAAAAATCTCTCAACAAACTAGGCATAGAAGGAATATATCTCAAAACAATAAAGACCATATACAACAAACCCACAGCTAACATCATATCAAATGGGAAAAGGTTGAAACCCTTTCATTTAAGAACTGGAACAAAACAAGGATGCCCTCTTTCATTGCTCTTATTCAATATAATACTGGAAGTACTAGCCAGAGAAACCAGGCAAGAGAAAGAGGTAAAAGCCATCCACATTGGAAAAGAGAAAGTCAATTCGTCCCTCTTTGCTGAGGATAGGATTTTTTTTTTTTTTTTTGAGATCGAGTCTTGCCCAGCTTGGAGTGCAGTGGAGCAATCCCAGCTCACTGCAACCTCCACCTCCTGGGTTCAAGCAATTCTTCAAAGGAGAAGCTGACTCTCTCTCTCTCTTCTAAAAATCATACTTTAAGTTCTGGGTTACATGTGCAGAATGTACAGTTTTGTTACATAGGTATACATGCGCCATGGTGGTTTGCTGCACCCATCAACCCGTCACCTACATTAGGTATTTCTCCTAATGTTATCCCTCCCCTAACCCCCCAAAGGCCGTAACCCCCAACCTAACCCCTAGCCCCCCATCCCCCACAGGCCCCTGTGTGTGATATTCCCCTCCCTGTGTCCATGTTCTCATTGTTCAACTCCCACTTATGAGTGAGAACATCCAGTGTTTGGTTTTATGATCTAGTGGTAGTTTGCTGAGAGTGATAGTTTCCAGCTTCATCCATGTCCCTGCAAAGGACATGAACTCATCCTTTTCATGGCTGCATAGTATTCCATGGTGTATATGTGTCACATTTGCTTAATCCAGTCTATCATTGATGGACATTTGGGTTGATTCCAAGTCTTTGCTATAATAGTGCTGCAATAAACATAAGCGTTCATGTGTCTTTGTCATAGAATGATTTCTAATCCTTTGGGTATATGTCCAGTAATGGGATTGCTGGGAGCTGACTCTCTATTTTAAACATACATGCACATGTATGTTCATTGCAGCACTATTCACAATAACAAAGGCATGTTTGGAAAACATACTTGGGGGAATAATTCAGGAAAACTTCCCTGTCCTTGCTAGAGACCTAGACATCCAAATACAAGAAGCTCAAAGAACACCTGGGAAATTCATCACAAAAAGATCATTGCCTAGGCACATTATCATCAGGTTATCTAAAGTTAAGATGAAGGAAAGAATCCTAAGAGGTGTGAGACAAAAGCACCAGGTAATGTATAAAAGAAAATCTATCAGATTAACAGCAGATGTCTCAGCAGAAACACTACAAGCATGAAATCAACCTAGATGCCCATCAACAGTAGACTTGATAGAGAAAATGTGGTACATATACACCATGGAATGCCATGTAGCCATAAAAAGGAATGAGATCATGTCCTTTGCAGGGACATGAGGGAGCTGGAAGCCATTATTCTGAGCAAACTAATGCAGGAACAGAAAACCAAACACCACATGTTCTCACTTATAAGTGGGAGCTGAACAATGAGAACACATAAACACATGGGGCAGGGGAACAACACACACTGGGGCCTGTTGTGGTGGGTGGAGTGAGAGCATCAGAAAGAATAGCTAATGGATGCTGGGCTTAATACCTAGGTGATGGGATGATCTGTGCAGCAAACCACTATGGCACACATTTGCTTATGTAACAAACCTGCACATTCTGCACCTGTATCCCTGAACTTAAAATAAAAGTTGAAGAAAAAAAAAGAAACACATTTCATAAGACTATAGCTGCTACTGATAATGATTCTTCTGGTAGATCTGGGCAAAGTAAATTGAAAACCTTCTGGAAAGAATTCACCATTCTAGATGCCATTAAGAACATTTGTGATACTTGGCATCACAATGTGTTCACTCCTTGTGAACAGGAGTTTTGGAAGAATTAGATTCCATCCCTCATAGATGACTTTGAGGGGTTCAAACCTTCAGTGGAGGAAGGAACTACAGATGTGGTGGAAATAGCAAGAAAACTAGAATTAGAAGTGGAGCCTGAATAGGTGACTAAATTGCTGTAATCTCATGATAAAACTTGAAAGGATGAGTTGCTTCTTATGGATGAGCAAAGAAAGTGGTTTCTTGAGATGGAATTTACTTCAGTTGAAGATGCTGACATCTTTACTTCAGTTGAAGATGTTGAAATGACAACAAAGGATTTAGAGTATTTTATAAACTTAGTTGATAAAGCAGGACAGTTTGAGAGGATTGACTCTAATTTTGAAGGAAGTTCTACTGTGAGTAAAATGCTATCAAGCAGCATCACATCACATACTACAGAGAAATATTTTGTGGATGGAAGTCAATTGATGCAGGAAACATCATTGTCATCTCATTTTAAGAAATAGCCATAGCAACCTCAACCTTTAGCATCCCCCACCCTGATGCACTCATTAGCTGTCAACATTGAGGCAAGATCCTTCACCAGCAAAAAGATTCTGACTTGCTGAAAGCTCAGATGATTACTAACATTTCAAATAATTATTGTAAATTAAGATCTTTATTTTTTTCATATAACTATTTATTTAATTAAAAAATTTTATTTCCGTACGTTATTGGGGAACTGGTGGTGTTTGGTTACATGAGTAAGTTCTTTAGTGATGACGTGTGAGATTTTGGTGCACCCTTCACCTGAGCAGTATGCATTGCACACAGTTCGTAGTCTTTTATTCCTCATCCCCTTCCCACCCTTACCCACCGAGTCCCCAAAGTCCACTGTATCATTCTTATGGCTTTGCATCCTCATAGTTTAGCTCCCACTTCTGAGTGAGAACATACAATGCTTGGTTTTCCATTCCTGAGTTACTTCACTTAGAATAATAGTCCCCAATCATCTAGGTCACTATGAATGCCATTAATTCATTCCTTTTTATGGCTGAGTAGTTTTCCATCATATATACCACAGTTTCTTTATCCACTCGTGGATTGATGGGCATTTGGGTTGGTTCCACGTTTTTGCTGTTGCGAATTGTGCTGCTATAAACATGCGTGCGCAAGTGTCTTTTTTGAATAATGACTTCTTTTCCTCTGGGTAGATACCCAGTAGTGGGATTGTTGGATCGAATGTTAGTTCTACTTTTAGTACTTTAAAAATACTCCACACTGTTTTCTATAGTTGTTATACTAGTTTACCTTCCCACCAGCAATGTGGAAGTGTTCCCTTTTCACTGCATCCACACCAACATCTATTATTTTATAATTTTTTGATTATCGCCATTCTTTCAGGAGTAAGGTAGTATTGCACTGTGGTTTTGATTTGCCTTTCCCTGATCATTAGTGATGGTGAGCATTTTTTCATATGTTTGTTGGCTATTTGTATATCTTCTTTGGAGAACTGTCTATTCATGTTCTTAGCTCACTTTTTGATGAGATTGTTTTTTTTTCTTGCTAATTTGAGTTCATTGTAGATTCTGGATATTAGTCCTTTGTCAGTTGCATAGATTGTGAAGATTTTCTCTCACTCTGGGTTTTCTGTTTACTCTGCTGACTGTTCCTTTTGCTGTGCAGAAGCTCTTTAGTTTTATTAAGTCTCAGTTATTAATTTTTGTTTTTATTGCATTTGCTTTTGGGTTCTTGGTCATGAAATCCTTGCCTAAGCCAATGTCTAGAAGGTCTTTTCCAATCTAGAATTTTTATAGTTTCAGGTCTTAGATTTAAGTTCTTGATCCATTTTGAGTTGATTTTTGCATAAGCTGAGAGATGAGGATCCAGTTTCATTCTCCTATATGTGGCTTGCCAATTATCCCAGCACCATTTGTTGAATAGGGTTTCCTTTCCCCACTTTATGTTTTTGTTTGCTTTGTTGAAGATCAGTTGGCTATAAGTATTTGGGTTTATTTCTGGGTTCTCTATTCTGTTCCATTGGTCTATGTGCCTATTTTTATACCAGTACCAGGCTGTTTTGGTGAGTATGGCCTTATAGTATAGTTTGAAATCAGGTAATGTTTTGCCTCCAGATTTGTTAATTTTGCTTAGTTTTGCTTTGGCTATGTGGGCTCTTTTTTTGGTTCCGTATGAATTTTAGGATTGTTTTTTCTAGTCTTTGAAGAATGACGGTTGTATTTTGGTGGGAATTGCATTGAATTTGTAGATTTCTTTTGACGGTATGGTCATTTTCACAACATTGATTCTACCCATCCATGAGCATGGGATGTGTTTCCATTTTTTGTGTCATCTATGATTTCTTTCAGCAGTGTTCTGTAGTTTTCCTTGTAGAGGGCTTTCACCTCCTTGATTAGGTATATTCCTAAGTATTTTATTTTATTTTTGCAGCTGTTGTAAAAGGGGGGGTGAGTTCTTGATTTGATTCTCAGCTTTGTCCATGTTGGTGTACAGAAGAGCTACTAATTTGTGAACATTAATTTTGTATCTGGAAACTTTGCTGAATTTTTAAAAATCAGTTCTAGGAGCTTTCTAGAGGAGTCTTTAGGGTTTTCTAGGTAAACAATCATATCATCAGCAAACAGTGAAGTTTGACTTACTCTTTATCTATTTGGATGCCCTTTATTTCTTTCTCTTGTTTGTTTACTCTGGCTAGGATTTCCAGTACTATGTTGAAGAGAAGTGGTGAGAGTGGGCATCCTTGTCTTGTTCCAGTTCTCAGAGGGAATACTTTCAGCTTTTCCCTATTCAGTATTATGTTGGCTGTGGGTTTGTCATAGATGGCTTTTATTACACTGAAGCATGTCCCTTGTATGCTGATTTTGCTGAGAGATTTAATCATAAAGGAATGCTAGATTTTGTCAAATGCCTTTTCTGCATCTATTGAGATAATCGTGATTTTTTGTTTTTAAATCTGTTTATTGACTTTCATATGTTAAACCATCCCCGTATTCCTGATATGAAACCCACTTGATCATGGTGGGTTATTTTTGATATGTTGTTGAATTCAGTTAGCTAGTATTTTGTTAAGGATTTTTGCATCTATGTTCACCAGGGATACTGGTGTGTAGTTTTCTTTTTTCATTATGTCCTTTCCTGGCTTTGGTACTACGGTGATGCTGGCTTCGTAGAATGATTTTCTCTATCTTTTGGAATAGTGTCAATAGGATTGGCACCAATACTTCTTTGAATGTCTGGTAGCATTCTGCTGTGTAACCATCTGGTCCTAGACTTTTTTTGGTTGGTAATTTTTTTTATTACCATTTCAATCTTATTGCTTGTTATTGGTCTGTGCAGGGTATCTAATTCTTCCTGATTTAAGCCAGAGGGTTGTATCTTTCCAGGAATTTATCCATCTCCTCTAGGTTTCCAAGTTTATGCAAATAAGGGTGTTCATAATAGCCTTGAATAGTCTTTTGTATTTCTGTGGTGTCAGTTGTAATATATCCTGTTTTGTTTCTAATTGAGTTTATTTGAGTTTTCCCTCTTTTTTTCTTGGTTCATATTGCTAATAGTCTATCAATTTTATTTATCTTTTCAAAGAAACAGCTTTTTGTTTCATTTATCTTTTGTATTTTTTTCGGTTTCAATTTCATTTAGTTTGGCTCTGTTCCTGGTTATTTCCTTTTTTCTGCTGGGTTTGGGTTTGGTTTGTTCTTGTTTTTCTAGTTCCTTGAGGTGTGACCTTAGGTTGTCTGTGCTCTTTCAGACCTTTTGATGTAGGCATTTAGGGCTGTGAACTTTCCTCTTAGCACCACCTTTGCTGTAGCCCAGAGGTTTTGATAGGTTGTGTCACTATTGTCGTTCAGTTTGAAGGATTTTTTAATTTCCATCTTGATTTCGTTTCTGACCCAGTGATAATTCAGGAGCAGATTATTTAATTTCCATGTACTTGCATGGTTTTGAAGGTTTCCTTTTGGAGTTGATTTTGAGTTTTATTCCACTGTGGTCTGAGAGAGTGCTTGATATAATTTCAATTTTCTTAAATTTATTGAGGCTTATTTTGTGGCCTATCATATGGTCTATCTTGGAGAAAGTTCCATGTGCTGATGAGTAGAATGTATATTCTGTGGTTGTAGAATGTTCTGTAAATATCTGTTAAATACATTTGTTCCAGGGTATAGTTTAAATCCATTGTTTCTTTGTTGACTTTCTGTCTTGATGACTTGTCCAGTGCTGTCAGTGGAATATTGAAGTCCCCCATTATTATTGTGTTGCTGTCTATCTCATTTAGTAGGTCTATTAGTAATTGTTTTATAAATTTGGGATCTCCAGTGTTAGGTGCATATATGTTTAGGACCGTGATATTTTCCTGTGGAACAAGGCCTTTTGTCATAATATAATGTCCCTGTTTGTCTTTTTGAACTGCTGTCACTTTAAAGTTTGTTTTGTCTCATCTAAGATTAGCTACTCCTGCTTGCTTTTGGTGTCTATTTGCGTGGAATGTCTTTTTCCACCACTTTATCTGAAGTTTATGTGAGTCCTTATGTGTTTGGTGAGTCTCTTGAAGGCAGCAGATGGTTGGTGAATTCTTATCCATTCTGTAATTCTGTATCTTTTAAGTGGAGAATTTAGGCCATTTACATTCAACATTAGTATTGAGATGTGAGGTACCATTCCATTCATCAGGCTATTTGTTACCTGTATACCTTTTTTTTCTTAAATTGTATTTTTGTTTTATAGGTTCTGTGAGATTTATGCTTTAAAGAGGTTCTGTTTTGATGTGTTTCCAAGATTTGTTTCAAGATTTAGAACTCCTTTTAGCAGTTCTTGTAGTGGTGGCTTGGTAGTGGCAAATCCTCTCAGCATTTGTTTGTCTGAAAAAGGCTGTATCTTTCCTTCATTTTTGAATCTTAGTTACACTGGATACAAAATTATTCACTGATAATTGTTTTGTTTAAGGAGGCTGAAGATAGGGCCCCTATCCCTTCCAGCTTGTAGCGTTTCTGTTGAGACATCTGCTGTTAATCTGATAGGTTTTCCTTTATAGGTTACCTGGTGCTTTTGTCTCACACCTGTTAGGATTCTTTCCTTAATCTTAACTTTAGATAACCTGATGATAATGTGCCTAGGCGATGATCTTTTTGTGATGAATTTCCCAGGTGTTCTTTGAGCTTCTTGTATTTGGATGTCTAGGTCTCTAGCAAGGACAGGGAAGCTTTCCTGAATTATTCCCCCAAATATGTTTTCCAAACCTTTAGATTTCTCTTCTTCCTCAGGAACACAGATTATTCTTAGGTTTGGTCATTTAACATAATCCCAGATTTCTTGGAGGCTTTGTTCATATTTTCTTATTCTTTTTTCTTTGTCTTTGTTGTATTGGGTTAATTTGAAAACTTTATGTTCAAGCTCTGAAGTTCTTTCTTCTGCTTGTTCAATTCTATTGCTGAGACTTTCCAGAGAATTTTGCATTTTTATAAGTGCATCCATTGTTTCCTGAAGTTTTGATTTTTTAAAATTATATTATCTATTTTATTGAAAATTTCTCCCCTCATTTCTTGTATCTTTTTTTCACTTCCTTAAATTGGGCTTCACCTTTCTCTGGTGCTTCTCTGAATAGCTTAATAACTAACCTTCTGAATTCTTTTTCAGGTAAATCAGGTATTTCTTCTTGGTTTGGATCCATTGCTGGTGAGCTAGTGTGATTTTTTGGGGGTGTTAAAGAACCTTGTTTGTCATATTACCAGAGTTGGTTTTCTGGTTCCTTCTCATTTGGGTAGCCTCTGTCAGAGGGAAGGTCTAGGGCTGAAGGCTGTTGTTCAGTTTCCTTTGTCCCATGGGGTGTTCCCTTGATGTGATACTCTCCCCCTTTTCCTAGAGATGTGGCTTCCTGGGAGCTGAGCTGTGGTGCTTGTTGTCTCTCTTCTGGATCTAGCCACCCAGCAAGTCTACTAGGCTCCATGGTGGGACTGGAAGTTGTCTACACAGAGTCCTGTGATATGAACCATTTATGGGTCTCTAAGCCTTGGATACTAGCACCTGCTATGGTGGAAGTGGCAGGGGGTGAAATGGACTCTGTGAGTGTTCTTGGCTTTGATCGTTTAATTCACTATTTTTGTGCGGGTTGGCCTCCTGCCAGTGAGAGGTGACAGAGTGCTGGCAGCCCTTGCAGCCCTCACTCACTCTCGGCGCCTCCTCAGCCTTGGTGCCCACTCTGGCCGCACTTGAGGAGCCCTTCAGCCCACTGCTGCATTGTGGGAACCCTTTTCTGGGCTGGCCAAGGCCAGAGCCAGCTCCCTCAGCTTGCAGGGAGGTGTGGAGGCAGAGGCGCAGGTGGGATCTGGGGCTGCGCAGCACTTGCAGGCCAGCGCGAGTTCCGGGTGGGCATGGGCTTGGCCGGCCCCGCACTCGGAGCAGCCGGACGGCCCACAAGCCCGGGGCAGTGAGGGGCTTAGCACCTGGGCCAGCAGCTGCTGTGCTCGATTTCTCACTGGGCCTTAGCTGCCTCCCTGCAGGGCAGGGCTTGGGACCTGCAGCCCGCCATGCCTGAATCTCCCTGCCCTCCACCTTGGGCTCCTGCATTGCCTGAGCCTCCCAGATGAGCGCTGCCCCCTGCTCCATGGTGCCCGGTCTCATCGACCGCCCAAGGGCTGAGGAGTGTGGGCGCACGGCACAGGACTGGCAGGCAGCTCCACCTGCGGCCGGGGCAAGATCCACTGGGTGAAGCCAGCTGGGCTCCTGAGTCTAGTGTGAACTTGGAGAAACTTTATGTCTAGCTAAGGGATTGTAAATACACCAATCAGCACTCTGTATCTAGCTCAAGGTTTGTAAACACACCAATCAGCACCCTGTGTGTCTAGCTAAGGGTGTGTGGATGCACCAATCGGCACTCTGTGTCTAGCTAATCTGGTGGGGACTTGGAGAATCTTTGTGTCTAGCTAAGGGATTGTGAATGCACCAATTGGCACTCTGTATCTAGCTCAAGGTTTGTAAATGCACCAATCAGCACTCTGTGTCTAGCTCAGGGTTTGTAAATATACCAATCGACACTCTGTATCTAGCTAATCTAGTGGGGATATGGAGAACTTTTGTGTCTAGCTCAGGGATTGTAAATGCACCATTCAGCACCCTGTCAAAATGGACCAATTGGCACTCTGTAAAATGGACCAATCAGCAGGATGTGGGTGGGGCCAGATAAGAGAATAAAAGCAGGCTGCCCGAGCCAGCAGTGGCAACCTGCTGGGGTCCCCTTCCACACTGTGGAAGCTTTGTTCTTTTGCTGTTTGCAATAAATCTTGCTGCTGCTCACTCTTTGGGTCCATACTGCCTTTATGAGCTGTAACACTCTCCAGGAAGGTCTGCAGCTTCACTCCTGAAACCAGCGAGACCACGAACCCACTGGGAGGAAGGAACAACTCCAGAAGCGCCACCTTAAGAGCTGTAACACTCACCGCGAAGGTCTGCAGCTTCACTCCTGAGCCAGCGAGACCACAAACCCATCAGAAGGAAGAAACTCTGAACACATCCGAACATCAGAAGGAACAAACTCCGGACATGCTGCCTTTAACTGTAGCACTCACCGCAAGGGTCTGTGGCTTCATTCTTGAAGTCAGTGAGACCAAGAACCCACCAATTCCAAACACAGTGGGAGGTGGCACTTTCAAGAGAGCATCAGCTGTGGTAGTATGGGGAGAAACAGGTGGTGGCCAGGACCCTAGAACTCCTAAGAGTGTATGCCCTTTGTCTTCAGCTACCAGGATGGGTAGGGAAGGACCATTAGGTGGGAGGGCAGGGCTAGGCATGTCTGAGCTTAGACTCTCCTCTGGTGGGTCTTGCTGCAGCTGCTGTGGGGGATACAGGTGTGGTTCCCAGGTCAATGGAGTTATGTTCCTAGGAGGATTGTGGGCACCTCTACTGTGTCATGCAGGTTGTCAGGGAAGTGGGGGAAAGCCAACAGTAATAGGTCTCACCCAGCTTCCATGCAACCCAAAGGGCCAGTCTCACTCCCATTGTGTCCCTTCCAACAGCACCAAGTCTGTTTCCAGGCAGTGGGTGAGCAGGGCTGAGAACTTGCCCCAGGCTACCCACCCCCCAGCTGCGAAAGCAAGTAGGGCTTTCATGCTTCCCTTGCCTGTGGAGTCTGCACACCAGATTCACACCCTCCCCTGAATTCTGGCCAGGAAACTTCTAGATTTGTTCAAATTGTTACAAAGTTCAGCTGGAGGTTTCCTTCTCCCTGTGGCCTTTCCCTAGTGCCTCTGGCCACCCTCCCCAAGCACCTCCATGAGGCAAGGCAGAAATGGCTTGCTAGGGGACATAGTGAGCCCATAGGGCTTTTCCTGCTGTTTCCTCTACCCCTGTATTTTGCTTAGCTCTCTAAATGGACTTAGCTCCAGGTAAGGCCAGAATCTTCTCCCGTGATCTAGACCTTCAGGTTCCCCAGTGAGGGTGAGTGTTTGGGGGTGGACGATCCACCTTTCCCACTTCCACAGTTTGGGCACTCACAGTATTTGGGGTGTCTCCCAGGTCCTTCAGGAGCAATCTGCTTCCTTCAGAGGAATTCTGTGGATTCTCTTGGCTTCCCTGGTTTATTTCTGCAGTTGTTCTGGAGCAAAAGTTCATGATGTGAGCCTCCACATGCTGCTCTGTCCATCTGAGTGGGAGCTGCAATCTAGTCCTGCCTCCCGTTTGTTATGATCTCTCATGTAACTCAAGATCTTTGGTTTTAAAAGAACATAATGCTATTGCAGACTTAGCAGAGTACAGGATAGTATAAACATAACTTTTATGTGCACTAGAAAACCAACAAGTTTGTGTGACTTACTTTTTTGTGATATTTGCTTTATTGTGGTGGTCTGGAATTGAACCTGCACTATCTCTGAGTCATTCCTGTATTGAAATGATTTTTGGGGGGCTAAGAATTCTAGTTTGACAGTTCTTTTTAGTACTTTGAAAATGTGATCCATTTTTTTTCACTTGCATTATTTTTGAAGAGAAATTGACTCAAATTCTTATCTTGTTACAATGTGTCTTGTTGCTTGCTGTTTTAAGATTTTCTCTCTGTCATTTGTTTTGAGCAATTCTATTATAATGTTCTTTTATTTTTAAGAAAATTTATTGTTATTTTAAGTTCTGGGGTACATGTGCAGGATGTGCATGTTTGTTACACAGGTAAACGTGTGCCATCGTGGTTTGCTGCGCCTGTCAACCCATCACCTAGGTATTAAGGCCAGCATGCATTAGCTATTTATCCTGATGCTCTCCCTTCCCCCACCCCACCTCCTGACAGGCCCCAGTGTGTGTTGTTCCCCTCCCTGTGTCCATGTGTTCTTATTGCTCAGCTTCCACTTATAAGTGAGAACATGTGGTATTTGGTATTTTGTTCCTGTGTTAGTTTGCTGAGGATAACAGCTTCCAGCTCCATCCATGTCCCTGCAGAAAACATGATCTTGTTCCTTTTTATGGCTGCATAGTATTCCATGGTGTGTATGTACCACATTTTCTTTATCCAGTCTGTCATTGATGGGCATTTGGGTTGATTCCATGAGGGCATTTGGGTTGAATCCATGATGATCTGGCCCTACCTATAATTTCCATGCTCATCACCTTTGTTTTATGCTTCAGTCCTGTTGTATTCCTTTCAGCTCTTTGAAATCACCGCACTTAACTCTCTTAACTCCATGTTCTTTCTTGACTCTGTTCCTTCTACCCAGAACACTACATCTCATGTCCTCCAATGTATGCTGCTTTGTGCTTTTGCTATGCCCTGTGATAGGGCCTATGTGTTTCCACTTTATTTTATTTTTTTGTGACCCAGCACAGGACCTTCAGCATAGTAGGTATTAAATAATTATACTCTAAATATTAAATAAGAACTAATGGGAAGATAAAGAACCAATATTCTATTCAACGAAGTTTTTACCCTAAGATCTTGCAATTCTATCAGGGATGGTAAATACAGACTCAACTATATTACAAGGCTGCATGCAGGAAGCTAAGTGCTATAGAAGAGAAGAAAAGTACTGTAAGGGTTTAAAGGAAGGAAAAACCACAACCCACAAGAGATATTAGAAATGGCATAAAGCAGAAAATGATGTTTGAAGTGGGCATTAAAAGAAGGGAAGGATAAAGTTTCAACACATAGGGATGAGAGTGAGAAGGCCTGGATCATGTCAGGAAATGTGAAATATTTTTTCTTTTTTTAAATTGGACTGAAGAGTATGGATAGGGCACATATAGAGAATGAGGTCAGAGAAAATAGCTAAGGTCACATCTTGGAGGGCCTTAAGACTGAGCTGAGGAAAGCATATTCAACTAAGTTACCAAATAAATCACTTATGGTTTTTGAGCATGCCAAGCATTGGTTCATTCTTCAGTCTTGGTTTCTATCAATTTGTTTATTTTGTTTAAAAACAATTTTAACTTTTATTTTAGGCACAGGAGTACATGTGCAGGTTTGTTGTATAGATAAATTGAGTGTCATGGGGGTTTGGTGTACAGATTGTTTTACCACCAAGGTAATAGGCATAGTACCCGAAGGTAGTTTTTCGATCCTCACTTTCCTCCCTCTACCCTCAAGTAGACCCTCGTGTTTGTTGTTTCCTTCTTTGTGTCCATATGTATTCAGTGTTTAGCTGCCACTTTGTTTCTATCACCTTTAATACACATCAGAGTCAAGTGCAGTGGCTCACTCCTATAATCCCAGCACTTTGGGAGGCTGAGGTGGGTGGATCACTTAGGTCAGGAGTTGGAGACCAGATTGGCCAACATGGTGAAATCCCATCTCTACTAAAAATACAAAAATTAGGTGGGCATGGTGGTATGTGACTGTAGTCCCAGCTACTAGGGAGGCTGAGGCAGGAGAATCGCTTGAACCCAGGAGTGGAGGTTGCAGTGAGTCGAGCTCATGCCACTACACTCCAGTCAGGGCGACAGAGCGAGACTCTGTCTCAAAACAAACAAACAGACAAACAAAAAACATATCAGATAGTTTTTAAAAGAAAGACTTATAATAGATAGTGATTTGTGTTCTAATAGTACCTTACATCTTTAACCCCCATTCTTGCTTTTCCATTCCTTCCCTAATAAGGACAAAATAATGGAGTATAATCTGTAAACTTTTGACTTTTGTGGTTGCAGCCTTAGGCTTGGTCTATAAAATAACCATACATTTATTTTAAAACAACTCATCAGCTACTTTTTATGTGTAGATAAAATAATTCTTTGAAAAATTTATTTCAATGGACAAAAATTGCACATATTTATTGTGTACATGATGTTTTGAAATATGTATACAGTGTGAAATGGTTCAGTTGGGCTAATTGACATATGTACTACCTCACATATTTATCATTTTTTTGTGGGTAGAATACTTAACAATCTTTTTTCTTAGCAATTTTCAAAAATATGATAGGCTGGGTGCAGTGGCTCATGCCTGTAATCCCAGCACTTTGGGAGGCTGAGGCAGGTAGGTCACTTGAGGCCAGGAGTTCGAGACAAGCCTGACCAACATGGTGAAACCTCGTCTCTACTAAAAATATAAAAATTAGCTGGGTGTGGTGGTGCACACCTGCAGTTCCAGCTACTTGGGAAGCTGAGGCAGGAGAATTGCTTGAACCCAGGAGGCGGAGGTTGCAGTGAGCCAAGATTGTGCCACTGCACTCTAGCCTGGGCAACAGAGTGAGACTCTGTCTAAAATATGTTATATATATATATATATATATATATATATATATATATATATATATATATATATATACACACACACATTACATTAACCCATGTTGTACAATAGATCTCTTGAACTTATTCCCCCATCTAACTGAAATTTTGTGTCCTTTAACCAACTAGATGAAATAATTCTTAATACTTTATTAGGTAAAGTAATTTGTTGAATATTTTAAGCTCTTTTGATGGTATCATTTAGACCAATCTACTGTTTAAATTTCAATACGGTAACTATATTTTTAAAAAAATTCTTTAAATGAGTATAAAATAAAAATTTAGAGCTTAAAGAGCTCCCAATAAAAGAGAATGATTATATAATTATTATATGTACACACAAGGGCATATTTGACAACAAATAAATTAATGTTTTGAAAGAGTTTGTAATAACATAAAAAATTCTTATTATATATTTTGTTGAATAAACAACAACAAAAAGGACAGACATCATTTATACAGTATGATCAGAAATAAGCAAAGCATGTACTGAAAGGAAATTCACCAAATTGGTAAAGGCAGTTTGTCTTTGTGTTGTGAGTTCTTTTTTCTTGCACTGCCCTAATTTTAAAATTCTGATCATACATACTTAATTTGTGTTAGATATAATATTAAAATAATAATAATAGCCAGAATTAACTTTTTTCTCTCCATATAGTCTTGACACTCTTTACTTTTCTTATCTCTTTCATCCATGTTTTCCCTGAAATCAGCTCAGATTATGAATGGCAGTACATTTTAGAAAATGACAGCTTGTCCTCAGTTTTTGCTAATAATTTTTTGTTTGCATAGAACTTTAATTTATGCCAGAGGGTGAGATCATGATGAAAACTTTTTGCTATTAAAAACATTTCTAGTATATTTAGACATGTTGGATAGTGTTTTTTGAGCTTTAGAGATTAAGAAAAATATGTCTGATACATACATATTGTTGGTACCAATTATATGACAGTACCATATCATATTAGTCATCAAGAATTTGTAAATATGACCAAAGCACGGTACTTGGTCCTAAGGGAATTATATTTATACACTATATGCAGACATGTTAGCAATAGTATTTTGTCAAGGAGAATAAAGTAATTGCCATCAGAAATATAAAAACAATACATTCCAACAGTTTGGGGGAGATGACTGATGTTAAATGAATACTTATACTGTCTCTGACACTGGTAGATGTTCTCACAACCATATGTGTGCCAATTTTATTTTGAGGTTAATAGATATTAAGTAAAATATCCAAGCTTACATATGTAGTATTTGAAATTAGGATTGAAATTCAGGGCTATCTGACTGGTTCCATCATAAGATTGTAGGAGTAGTAGAGGGCTTCCAAGACAAGGTGATATTTTAACTGGACTTTAGTAGTACAATATAATTTTGATGCGTAGAAAAGAGCTCAAGAGAATTTCCAGGTTGAGAGAATTTATATCCTTGGTATCTCTTTCACGTCTTCAGGTTTCTATTCTTCATTCCAGCATCCTGTACTTTGGTTACGATCTATATTTTAGGATGGCAAAAGTATACACATGATATCCTAGAATTTTTTTCTTTGAGTGAGTCCAGCCCTTTCAGGTTTTTTTTTTCTCTATTGATTAACCTGATCCTTATAAAACCCTGTGAGTGAAAATAAGCTAATATGAGAAAAATAAAATTTTATGTGATAGCATTTTCAAATATTTTTGGGTAGGGCTATACTCCAAATTTACATTACTGTGGCCTCATATTTTTATTGCTAACAATATTCTATATAATATATGTTAGATTGGGGTCACAATGAATTAACTTTAAGATATCACAGAAATATAAATCTTTCTATGCAAACAGCTAGAGCAGCCTAAGAATTTTGATTGTATGGTAGCCATCTCTTCAGTCTTTGAAGATTATGGCATCAATAAAAATTGTATATAAAGCCATGAAAAATGGCTCTTTGGAGATATGTCCTTTGCCAAAAATCAATTTTGCCCAGCAGAATGTCTCTAACTGTGATCATAAAAGACAAAATCTTAGGGTGGGGAGGGAACTTAGCAGGTCATCTATTCTACTAACCTGTCTCCTGATAGGGCCACCCCTAATCCTGTTTTAAAATATGATATTGTTTTGTTTTTTAAGATCCCCAGGAAAATAGAGAATATGATTTTTTTTTTTGGGTGCCCAATGAATGTTGAACTGTCTGCTAGGTAGGAAAACTTCTCATTTTAGTTTATATTGTCCCTTGTTTCTTAGCAGATATTGAGTATTTATCCTGGCTTTCTTTCCCCTCCTCTCACTCTTACCCCTTAGATGCTGTTATGGATGAAATGTTTGTGACCTCCTCAAATATATATGTTGAAATCCTAACCCCCAATGAGATGATACTAGAAGGTGTGGCTTTTGGGAGGTAATTAAGAAGGTGGAGCCACTATGAATGAGATTAGTGCCCTTATAAAAGGGACCCCAGAGAGTTCTCTAGCTCTCTCTCCTCCAAGTGAGGATACAGTGAAAAGTCAGGGCAGCCTGCAGCCTGGAAGAGGGTCCTCACCAGACCTGCACCTGCTCACACCCAGTCTCAGACCTCCAGCTTCCAGAACTGTGGAAAATAAATTTCTGTTGCTTAAGCCTCCCAGACTATGGGGATTTATTGTAGCAGCTTGAGGTGACTAAGACAGATGCCCTTGACATCTTTGAAGAAGATTGTAAAAGTCATCCCTACACTTTAATTTTAACCCTTAAAACCTGAATTTTAAAAATATTTCTTATAGACATTATTTTCTCATAGATGTTCTTTAAAAATCTTGAATTATGGGGCTGGGCATGGTGGCTCATGCCTGTAATCCCAGCACTTTGGGAGGTTAAGGTGGGCCAATCACCTGAGGTCAGGAGTTCGAGACCAGCCTGGCCAATAAGGTAAAACCCCATCTCTACTAAAAATACAAAAATTAGCTGGGTGTGGTGGTGGGCACCTGTAATCCCAGCCACTTGAGAGGCTGAGGCAGGAGAATTGCTGGAACCCCAAAAGGTGGAGGTGGCAGTGAGCTGAGATTGCACCATTGCACTCCAGCCTGGTGACAGAATGAGGCTCTGTCTAAATAAAGAAAATAAATTAAAAAATAAAAAAATAAAAATCTTGAATTATGAAAAATTTTCAAATTTCATGTCACTCATTAGCTATGACACCCAGAAAAATGTATACAGTAGTCCCTCTCCTTATCTGAGGTTTTACTTTCTACAGCTTTAGTTACTTGCAGTCAACTATTGTCTGAATATGTTAAATGGGAAATTCCAGAAATAAACAATTCATAATTTATAAATCATGCTATGTTCTGAGTAGGGTGATGAAATCTCACCCCGTCCCACTTTGTCCCTCCCAGGATGTGAGTCCTCCCTTTGTCCAGCATCTGCACGCTGTCTATGCTCCACCCACCCTGTAAATTGCTTAGTAGCCATCTGGTTTATCAGAGCACCTGTTGCTGTATTGCAGTGCTTGTGTCAAGGAACCCTGATCTGATGGGGTAACGACCCCAAAGCACAAAAGTAATGATGCTGAGAATGTAGATACACCAAAGAGAAGCCATTGAGTGTTAACTTTAAGTGAGAAGGTGAAAGTTCTCAAGAAGGAAAGACAAAAAAAATCATATGCTGTGGTTGCTAAGGTCTATGGTAAAAACAAATCTATCCATGAAATTGCAAAGAAGGAAAAATATACTCATGCTAGTTTTGCTGTTGTACTTCAAATTGCAAAATTATGGCCACAGTGTGTGATAAGTGCTTAGTTAACAGACACTGTGGTATTGTATTGTGCTTGTTTGCAAACCTTGTTATTGATTTAGGGGTCATTCTGTCATTTACAGAAGCACTTGCAGATCACCCAGCCCTTTTCCACCCAGGGTTTGAGAGTGTGTTTTTTCCTACCTTTAGATGCTACCAGAACTTACACTGGTGAAGATAATAGTTAAATTGCATATAGCTTTTTCACACGAGTGGATCCAGATTTATAATAAATGAAACTATAGGCCCAGAATCAACAATTTCTGAATGAGTCAGTAAACCAGAATGAGGCAACATTGGGAGTTTTCACTGCCAGGCTGGGGAAAATTTGACAAGGAAATGCCAGAAATAATCATAGAAAAAAAAACTCGTTTAATTAGTGGGAGAAAGTAAAGAAAAAGGAACTAAGTATAGAATAAAGAACTCCAACATAGTAACAAAAAGAAGTATTAACTCAGCGAATGTGGCAGAACAGTATATTAAAAAATATATTAACAGATTCTCGTCCTCCAGTTTTCCTCTATTTTGTTTCTCTTCTTTGGACTTCTGCACACTTAAGGTGTTCTTTACTCTGTTGAAGGAAAATTGGTGGAATAAGCCTAGAATACTGGAGTGCAGCAGATCTTGAAGGGTTACCTAAAAGAGCAGCATCAGAAGTACCTGGACACTTGTTAGAAATGCAGATGCTCCAGCCCCGATCCAGACCTAATGAATGGAGCCTAGCCATCTGTTTTAACAATGCCTCCATGTGATTCTGATCCAGCTGAAGTTTGAGAATCTCTGGTGTAGTGGATACTGTGGTGAGCAACCTTGACCCCCACTTCAGGACTGAGACACTTATTATCTCAGCCGGTAGGAGTGTAACCTACCCATGATTCCAGGAGTTGCCCATGACTGAAAGGAGCAGCCTTGTCCAAGGTCACATTCCTCTTTAGGGAAGCACTTATCCAGCAGCACTTAGCCAGTGATTTACTGGTGAGGGGGTTTATTAGGTTCAGCGTTGGCTTCAGTTTGGGGCATCTCTGAAGAGCCACACCTGCTTCATTGCTGTCTGTAAGATCAGCTGTGTCCTCTGTTGCAATTACATCCTTGTCGAACTTCCCCCTTTTCTCAATTCTGCTTCTCTCTTTTCCTTACAGGTGTTGTTCCTGAGAGCACTTCCTGCATCTCCACCTTAGTGTCTGTTTCCTGAGGAACTGGAGGCCTCCTGGCTTTCCTTTTCTAAAAGCCCACACCCCCATGTGGGAGTGGGAAGGAGCCCACAAATTAGAACACAGCACATATTTGTGAGGAGCAACTCAGGAGAAAGGAGTTCCTGCTAAGCTGGTGGGAAGAAGAGAGACTAAGGGGAGGTGATGAGTGTATGGATACTGGTAGACCTGACTGAGAGGGACCCCACACCCACCTTACTGGGAAGAGCCTGGGAGCAGAGGCAGCAGGGTTACATCTGAGGAAATAAAACTTTTGTTTGCCTTGCAGATTCCCATGGCCTCAGGTGCATCACTGATGAAAGAAACAAGAAGATTCCTGAGGGGACCAGACAGGTAGAACTAAAGGATGTTTCAGAGCTACCTTTGTATATTAAATATCAAGGACAAGATGGGATGACTTACACCTTAGAGATACTCTTGTGGTCATGTGACATTGAAAATTGGCTAGATCTGGCAGTTAAATGAGTTTGATTAAAAAAAAATTAGATAGAAATCTTTTTCCCCTCAATACATCAGCTGCCAAAGGCTGGGTGCTGTAAACACTCCCTTCTCATTGGACCTTATTTGTCACTTGGCAAAAGAAGAAAAGCTCTAGTTTTAGGGAGGCTATATTTTTTTCGTGTGTCATGATGTGACACAAAAGATTAGTTACAATATAAAATTATAATTTTTTACACTTGACCATGAACTAAGATTTCTACCCCATAGTACAACAAAAGCGGAGACTATTTTTTTGTTATGCCAAGTGTATTAAAAACACAACAACAAAAATCCCTTTCCAAAGACTCAGAGCAAAAGTGCTTATAACAGGCAGCCACAGAGGACTCCATTTTATTTGATCACAGTGGAGGTGTCTACAGTAGTTAAAAGGTTGCGAGCTAGAAGGACAGTTAAGGAAGAGTCTGTTCTTTATAGAATTTTAAGCATTTGTGAACAGAGACTACTTAGACAATGACTTTTTTTAACTTTTATTTTAAGTTCAGGGTACATGTGCAGGTTTGTTACATAGGTAAACGTATGTCATCACCCAGGTATTAAGCCTAGTACCATTAGTTATTTTTCCTGATCCTCTCTCTCCTCCCACTCTCTACCCTCCAAAAGGCCCCAGTGTGTGTTGTTCCCTTCTAAGCATCCATGTTCTCATCATTTAGCTTCTACTTGTGAGTGAGAATGTGCAGTATTTGGTTTTCCATTCCTGTGTTGGTTTGCTAAGGATAATGGCAATGACAGTTTTTGTACAGAGACCAGTTTGAGGTGGACTAAAGTGGATCATAAAAATAAAGGCCATGAAAGTGATAAATGTCTCTAACCAGGGTTAGAAAAGATGTTGTCCTTTTATGGATTTCACTAATATTTTAGGAAAGTGTGATTAGTTGTCATTAGAGCATGTTCTGTTGCTTTAGGTATATGGTAATACTGAGAATAATAAGAATTTTATTTACTGTGTGCCTGCCATGTGCCAGGCACTGGTTCTAAGTCAAAAGCATGTATGTATCAACTATTGTTAATGAAGGTTATCTGAATCAGGTGACCTCACCAGTCACGTGTAGTTATTACAACGGTGCTGAAAGTGAATAGACATTTTAAGTATCATCTTTACAGAATAGAGCCTGAACTTGTATGGCAAATTCCCAATTTAAAAAATCCTTTTGCTTTATTAAATGATTATAAAAATTATTTTGCATAGGAGAAAGAACTTAGAACCAAAATTTGTGACTATTTGTTAGATTGATAAATGTTGTGAATGTAAATGCAACTCGTTATAAGCATGCTAAAAATGAAAGCTTACTATATATTTACGAATTGTTTTTATAATAACATTCTATATTTTTCCAAATTTCAAATACTTAAATGGCTTTTTTTAGGGTTTAAAAAGATAATGTTGAAAGAAATATATATTCTAGTATTTGGGCATTATTTAAGGACTGACAATCTGTTTTGAGTATTAGCCCATTTTTCTGCTCGTTATATGGATACTGAACGTTCTATTAATCTCACTCGGAGAGTAGGATGAAAAGGCACAAAAATCCTTAAGATGGAATATTTTTACTTTTCTTTTGGTTAGTTTCCCCATGCTTCATTAACAAGGGTAAATATGAATGAATGATAATGCATTATTATTTTAAATACTCTGTAAGTATTTGTTGTCATGCATGTCCGTGTGAAGAGACCACCAAACAGGCTTTGTGTGAGCAATAAAGCTTTTTAATCACCTGGGTACAGGCAGGTTGAGTCCAAAAAGAAAGTCAGTGAAGAGAGATGGGGTGGGGCCATTTTATAGGATTTGGGTGGGTAGTGGAAAATTACAGTCAAAGGGGGTTTTTCTCTTGCAGGCAGAGGCGGGGATCACAAGCTGCTCAGTGGGGGAGGTTCTGAGCCAGGAGAAGGAATCTCACAAGGTTAATTGCTCAGTTAAGGTGGGGCAGGAACAAATCACAATGGTGGGATGTCATCAGTTGAGGCAGGAACTGGCCATTTTCACTTCTTTTGTGATTCTTCACTTGCTTCAGGCCATCTGGATGTATACATGCAGGTCACAGGGGATATGATGGCTTAGTTTGGGCTCAGAGGCCTGACATTCCTGTCTTCTTATATCAATAAAAAAACCCCATAAAATAGTATTGAAGTGTTGGGGCAGTGAACATTTTTGGGGGTGGTATGGAGAGATAATGGGTGATGTTTTTCAGGGCTGCTTCAAGTGGGATTAGGGGTGGCATGGGAACCTAGAGTGGGAGAGATTCAGCTGAAGGAAGATTTTGCGGTAAGGGGTGATATTGTGGGGTTGTTAGAAGGAGCATTTGTCGTATAGAATGATTGGTGATGGCCTGGATATGGTTTTGGATGAATTGAAAAACTAAATGGAAGACACAAGGTCCAAATAAGAGAAGGAGAAAAACAGGTATTAAAGGACTAAGAATTGGGAGGATCCATGGCATCCAATTAGAGAGTGCCCAAGGGGGTTCAGCATAATTACTTCCTTGGTTGATGAGTTTTTGGGCTCTATCCTTGAGTTTTTTTATGTTGTCTTACACCAGGCCAGATTGATTTAGGTAAAAACAACACTCTTCATTTAAAAATATACAGAGTCCTCCTTTTTCAGCAGTGAGTAAGTCAAGGCCTCGGTGGTTTTAGAGGCCAAATGCAGCAAGAGAGTCAACTTGGGCCTGAAGGACTGATAGAGTTTGTGATATGTCTGTGATGCTAGCAGAGAAGTCATTAGAGAGGCTACGAAAGGTCGTGACAGAGGATGAAATGCCTGCTATTCCAGTACTGAGAGCAATAGTGGAGGGAGAAAGTCCTAAACCGACAAGCAAGGGAATCAGTGGAATAACTCTCTTGTGTCATGTCAGTGTCATGAGGGGAACAGGAAGCTATTCAGTCCCATTTGCAAATTGAACTTTGGGAGTAAGGAAAACTAGTGTGCATGTGCCTGTCCAATTAGCAGGTAGCCACATGTAGGTAGAGGATCCACAGAGGAAGAAGAGACCTTGTGCAAGGCAAAACTGGAAATGCAAAGTAAAAAGATGAGAAGGAGTACTAAAAGATGTGTCTTGTGCCCAGACTTCTAGGGATCCAGCTAGGGCAGCAGCCATCAGAGGTTGTAATGGGGACTGATGAGGTAACTGCGTAGAGGGGGAGGTTTGATTTTCATGGTGCATAAGAAAACATTGAGTGTTTATGAGCAACCTTTCACTGTTATTTATGGAGCTGGGTACAAATAAACAACAAGAGGGCCTGGGAGGAGAGTCTGACGAGTAAGGGGAAGGTAGCCAATGATGGAGTGAAATACAGGGTAAGTGTCTTCCTAAGCAATAATAACTGCTAATGTTTTTAAGTTTGCCAGTATTGACAGAGGGCTTATCTGTAATACGGAGCTGGAAGGCTCCAATTGTTTCAGTGATGTGTGTAGTTGGGCTTTGGAGATGAAGAGTGAAGGAACATCGAGAAGGTGAAAGGTTACCCAGGGGGATTCTAGTGGGTCTTTGCCAAGAGATACATAAAGGAGTGGCCACAGGAATAGTAGTTTGCATTGTGAGAGGTCCAAATATGGGGGGAGTTGAGATGATATAAGGAGAAAGGTTTTAGGTCAGGTGTGAGTTGAAGAGGTTTTAAGTTCTTGAGAACACAGGCTAAGGGAGAAGAGGGAGGAATGGATGGTGGAAGGTTGTCCATAGTGAAGGAGGCAAGCCCAGAGAAAAGAGAGGGTAGAGACATGGAGAGAAGGGGTGAGGGGTGCTTGCCCCCCAGGTAAGTGGTACTTGCCACTGAGGTGAAGGATCAAGGCAGGCGCCCCCACGGTGATCAGACACCTCTGAAATGTGAGTGAATAATCAACCAGGTGTCTCCGCAGTGATTAAACACCAAGCGAAGACTGTCTTCCTGAGTCCATGACTGGTGCCGGAGTTTTGGGTTCACGGATAAAATGAGTCTCATCTGTCTCTAGTGAAAAGGAAAGAAACTGAAATTAAGAGAAGGGAGAGATTGAAGGGTGGTGCCAAGATTGAAAGGAGAAAGAGGTTGAGGGATAGTGAGAGAGGTTGGAGAAGAGAGTAAAAAGAGACCGCTTACCTGATTTAAAATTGGTGAGATGTTCCTTGGGCTGGTTGGTCTGAGGACCCAAGGTTGTAGGTGGATCTTTCTCATGGAGCAAAGAGCAGGAGGACAGGGGATTGATCTCCCAAGGGAGGTCCCCTGATCTAAGTCACAGCACCAAATTTCATGTGCGTCCGTGTGAAGAGACCACCAAACAGGCTTTGTGTGATAAATAAAGCTTTTTAATCACCTGGGTGCAGGTGGGCTGAGTTCGCAAAGAGAGTCAGCAAAGGGAGATAGGGGTGGGGCTGTTTTATAGGATTTGGGTGCATAGTGGAAAATTACAGTCAAAAGGGGTTTTTCTCTTGCAGGTGGGTGGTGGGGGGGATCACAAGGCGCTCAGTGGGGAAGGTTCTGAGCCAGGAGAAGGAATCTCACAAGCTTAATCGCTCAGTTAAGGTGGGGCAGGAACAAATCACAATGGTGGGAAGTCATCAGTTAAGGCAGGAACTGGCCATTTTCACTTCTTTTGTGATTCTTCACTTGCTTCAGGCCATCTGGATGTATACATGCAGGTCACAGGGGATATGATGGCTAAGCTTGGGCTCAGAGGCCTAACACTTGTTATTTTAATTGATTTATTATTAATATTTTGCTCATTCCTTTGTTTTGGTGTCCATTTTTATAAACTACTTTAAATTAGGAATCCTAACTAAAATGGATTTTGAAAAAAGATATTTTCAATTAGTTGTTTCTCTTCTCTCATTTTTAGTAAGTCTTAGATTAAGTTAAACAAAATTGTTTATCATGACTTTTGGCTCTCTCTGATTGACTAGAGAGACTTGTGGCTTCTATTATTTTTTTTCAAACTTGAAATAAATGTCTATTGCCTACTAACTATATACTATATAATTTGGATTAATTACATTGAGCAGATACAAATACATTGTACAGAGGGACATTGACAGCTCTGCCTTCCTGATCTGCAAAGGTGTTGTTTTGGTTATATTGTTTTTCTAAGTTAACCCATTTGGGACAAAAGTGTCTTTATTATTATGATTGGATCTCTTGATTGCCCACCAAAGCAACTCTCGTTTTCCCCAGTCTCCCTGGCAGTGAGGCATGGTCACATGACTTCAGTTCTCGTCAATGGAATGTGAACAGAAATGGCGGGGGTGTTTCTGGGCTTTATTCCCTCCCTACAAACATGCTGTGATTCAGCCTCTACCAAGTACACAAGGACAGTGTCCCAGGGGATCCCTGAGACCCAAAATGAAAAGAACCTGGACCCCTGAATGACTGCATGAAGCAGAGCAGCCAGCTGGAACTTTCTGGAATGTGAGAGAGAAATGCCTTCCTTTACAGTGTTTTCTTGCCACTGTATTGTTGGATCTCCTTGACACAGTTTTAACCTAATATAATATATTTCCTTCATTCCATATCTGGAAATAATATTTTGAGACTATTATGGTGACTTTTTGAACTTGATTTTCTTCTTGTTTCTGCAAAACACATTTTTGAAGTTATATTCTTGCTTTAAGAGCCACAGGTAGCCAGTTAAACATATTTTGATAAAGTGAATGAATTACTCCATAAATATTCTCTACTGCCTTTTGTGGGCTTACTACTATGTTAAATACTAGGGGATGTAAAATGCCTACATGATATCATTTCTACTTACTTTGGTGGAAAATAAATGTTTTCTACTATGTTATAAGCTTGTCTTATGTATGTTTTAGGTAATCATTTTACTGAAAACATTATTTGAGCTCACAATACACAAGTTACTATGTGAGAGGGTAAGAATAAAGACTAAAACACGGTCACTTCCCTCAAAGAACTCATAGTCAGAAGAAAAAATAGTAGTATTTAAATATACTTTGCAATTTCCTTTTGATAAGTGTTGACTTATTTGAACTTCACTACAAGCTAGTAAAATAGATTCTATTTTACCTCTTTATAGATGATGAAATGGAGATTTAGTGAGGATAATCAACTATACTTACTGATTGCCAATTACTAGGTCCTGTGCTTTGCCTTCTTGGGCCATTCTATATTGGAGGTGGGAGAAGCAAATAAAAAGCCCTAGATGTTCTGGTGGACCTGGGAGAGGCAAGGACATGCCGTGCCCCATTCCTGATGGAGCCTAAAGAAACAGCAAGACCTAGGAAACAGTTTTACAACATTTCCCGTGCTGCAGTGAAAGGCATGAATGGGAGAAGGATTCCCATGCAAGGAGCCTGGGACCACAGTGGGCCCAGTGTGACACATGGACAGTAGACTCCTTTCTGTGTGCTGGATGAAGGTGTCAAAGTGACACAGGGCTTTTGACATCTTCTTAATTTCTTTTGTGCCAGCACAGTGTGGGGAGCTTCATGGTGACTCCCCTGCACCTGAAGTAGCATAACAGAGAAAGCTCAACTCTGGGACCTGTTTCTGATAAGATTGAGGGCAAAGAAATGGCAGCCTGGCAGCCTGCATGGGGTGACACCTGAAGACCAAAGACAAAGAGACCCATCAGATGCCCAGGTCACACTAAGATAAAGCGAGGAAGCCCCTGGGATTAAGTTTCTACTACCTGTTAGGACAGACATATTATTAGCAAGACCATTTCAATTGTTGTCCAGATTGGGACCCTTGAGGGTGAAAAGGGAAACTATTGATAATTATACCTGGATAGCATGTGTAAAGTGGAACTGTCATTGGCAAATTGGGATAATGGTCACATTATTCTTAGAAAGGGAATTATGATGAATTGTAGAAAAACCAAACAAGTTATATTTTTCAGACAGATGAAAATATGGGCTGAAATTCACATCTACCACAAAAGGCAATATTGGAGCAGAATCTGTCTTTACAGATCACCACAATGTATAAGGGAAAATGATTTTTTCCTTCTCTCCATAATTTGTCCTTTGAAAGTATAGGGGAGGGGGCTTCTATGCTGCCTTGTACTTTTCACTAATTCCTCTATGTGCAAAGCTGAATGATTTATCTCTTGATGAGATGGCAAGGATCTGACAACATGAGTTAACTTTCCCTTCTGAGAGGGAATACAGAGTTAAATGTCTCTCTAACAACGTGGTCTGTCCTACTTCTCTGGGTGAAGGTGCTGAGTGCTTCTTCTTTCATTTTTCTGCCTCCATACAGATAATTACCTGGGTAGGCTTTGGACCTGTGGAAAGGACATATGCAGTTTGGGGTGGCTAGATTCAGTGTGGGAAAAATAGGAAGCTTAATTTTGGAAACAGATCTAACTAATATTTCCTTTTTCAAAAACTAATTTTTAAATGAAAACATTATAATTGTACATATTTATGGGGGTATAATTTAATGTTTTTATACATGTGCATGTTGTATAATGATCAAATCAGGGTATTTAGCACGTCCATCACCTCAAACATTTGTCACTTCTTTGTGGTGAGAACACCCAACAGCCTCTCTTCTAGCTGTTTTGTAATATACGATACCTTACTGTTAACCATAGTCACCCTATTGTGCAATAGAACAGCAGAACTTATTCCTCCCATCTAATTGTAACTGTACCTGTTGTCCAACTTCTCCACATTCTCCCCTCCTTCCTCCCCTCCTCAGTCTCTGGTAACTACTGTTCCACTCTCTGCTTCTAGGAGACAACTTTTTTTGTTTGTTTGTTTTAGATTTCACATGTGAATGAGGGCATGTGACATTTGTCTTTCCAAGCTACATTTTTATTCCAGCTCTAGCAGTAGAAACGTAGGCATTTTGATTCCTATCTGGTAGGTATCTGTGTACATTTCTAAAATTGCTTCAAATGTATTGAGATTCTTGCCTGGTGCTTCTGGAAAAATAAAGCAAACTCATTAAGAGAAGGGATTTGTCTAGCCTTTTGGAGCCCTAACACACAGCAATAGCATGTCCTGAATGATTAAGACTCGGACCCAAGTGCAAGATGTTCTACTGGAGACAGTTCTTATAATATGGTTTGCTTATGGGATGCAAGTATCTTCCAGAACTTTGATTATTATGCTTAAGGGTATGTTAAAATAGAATTTTAACTTTTGTAATGCCACCTTTTGGGAATTGACCCCACTGTTTGGCAAAGGATAAATGCTGTATATTTCTTAGGTTTTTCAGTTTATTTTCTGGTTGTGGATGTTAGGGGAGACTGTTTCTTCCCTTATTCCTGAAGTTTTCTCTCAGTTAAGGGAGCACAGTATTAATGTGGCAATACTGGCTACTCTCCTTGCCTTTTATTCTCTGCCCAGAAGTAACTTATATCAATTTGGAAGGATAAACTGAGTGTGCCCAGCTCAGCTGCTGCTTTTTTTTCTCTTGTAGTTAAGCTGTCTTCATGGAGTAGTTCTCTTCAGCTCCTCTATGCTTAAGTCTTACCTGCTTTTGCTGAGCATTGCCTGTTATTAGTTAGGTCAATCTGCTTAACAATGGGCTCAATTAGCAAGCCAATTTGTCTTCTATATTAAACTATGATCTCAGATATATAGTCTTTATCAATAAAAAGATGATATTTTTGATTTATTTCTGTATTCACATTGGACCATCTCAATGTTTCAACAGTGGAATGATAATTTTTGTGTTAGGAGAAAACTAATTCGTGGATATATTTGGGTATTTGCATAAAAGGAAAATTATTTTTGTGGTATTTCTTAGCAACAGTTAAGCATCATCAGCCAGATAGCTATGCATCATTAAAGGGATCTTTATTACCCCTTGGAGGGACGATAGGACTGACAGGCTATTGCAAATGGAAAAAGGAATTAAAATGTAATTAGAAAGTTCAGAAAGGAGGTGTTCATGTTTTGATTAAGTTGTGTGTTTTGACTAGGTCTATCTAGTTTTCTGTTATGCCTTTCTTTTTCATCACAGCTGAGCTTAGTGAAGCTTCTAGCCTCAGTCCCCAGGGAGGAGCTTGGCTGCTCTGGGTGCTCCAATGGAAGAGCTTTGTTCTCACTCTCCTGTTGTATTAGTCTGTTTTCACACTGCTATAAAGAACTACTGGAGACTGAGTAATTTATAAAGGAAAGCGGTTTAATTGACTCACAGTTCAGCATGGCTGGGGAGGCCTCAGGAAACTTACAATCATAATGGAAGGTGAAGAGGAAGCATGCACCTTCTTCACAAGGTGGCAGGAAAGAGAGAGAGAGCAAGGGGGAACTGCCAAACACTTTTAAACTATCAGCTCTCCTGAGAACTCACTCATTAGCATGAGAACAGCATGGGGGAAAACACCCCGATGATCCAATCACCTCCCACCAGGTCCCTTCCTCAACACATAGGGATTACAATTTGAGATGAGATTTGGGTGGGGACATAGAGCCAAACCATATCACCTATCTTGGTAGGCACTGATAATCTCACCCAATGTTTCCTCCATAATAACAGCTACCATTTATTGAGGGTCTATTATGTTCCAAGACTTTAAGTAAATTATTTTATTTCATCTTCTTGACAATGCTACTAGGTAGATTTTTCTTATCGACATTTTTATTGATGAAAAAAATTGAGATCCAGAGAAGTTATCTGAATATAAGACAGAAGCAGGATTTGAAATGGTGTCTCTCAGACTCTGAGATTCATATTCAGATGCTACCTAGGAGAAAATAACCAAATGAATATTCACTATCTGACTTTTGCAGTTGTGAGGTTATGTGGGGAAGCAAAAACTCTTTTGAGTGTTCACTAACGAACTGATAGCAGAAGGTGGAAAACTGGTGTCTGAAACTCCTTTTTTTTTTAGGTGTATAGGCCTGGAGTAACATTTTTGTATCAATAGTACAAATTGTGCTGAGAGACTGCATCGCCATAAATGTGTCTTGGAGGAAGAAGGGCTTGATTTTCTTTTTGCTTAGTTCAAATCCTGTATGTTAAACCCTGTAATATTCAAAACATTTATTATATAACATAGGAGCATAGAGTTGTAATTTTTTTTAGTATGATCACCTAAGGCAATGGTAGTCTGGTATGGCAACATTGATTTCTAAAAATTTGAGCTGTCAAATCAAATTCTCAAAAGTATGGTCATTTTTAGCATTTATGATATGGAAAAAGATAAGACAGTATTCCTTGTCAACACAATTACATTTTGTTTCTGAGATGGAGTTCTGCAAACATGTTTGCTTGCTTGGATCTAAGAAAGTACATTTCACCCTTGAGACATTTTTATTTGTTCTTGCCCATCTCATGATTGTTTTCTCTGTTGTTTTAAGGAGATCAATTTTGAAGCTTTGTGTAGAATGAAGTTTCCTACTTTATTGTACTATATACTTAAAGGAACGGAATGAGCCCAGTGTTCTGATCGGCATGTTGAAGTGGATTAAATGAATCGGCAAGAGGGAAGTCAGGCAAGGACAACCGGCATAAATAAAACTGGCTTTTGGGCACCTGTTTTATTTTCCTAATAATTAACTATTTCTCTTTTCCTGAAACACAGATCTAAGTCAAGGGGGCACTAGCTCTTGCCAATCAAGTCTCTTATTGTACTAGACAGAGCTGGAAAGAAAGCTTGTAAGACAGCTCCCATTTGTGACTTTATCAGAGGAATTGGCTTCTAATACCTAGCACAGACCCTGCAGAGAGGTGCTCATAAAATATGTTTTGAATAATGAATATCACTCATATAGGTTTATTGAGTGTTTACAAGATTCCCAGCCTGGGTTAAGCATTTTGCAGCTTGTGTTTAAAATATAAATACCTTTCAGTCAAAATTTATTTTATGTGGTGCTACAGCAGATATATACCTTGCTTTAGAAAATAAATAAATTCCTAAAATTTAAGGAATGTATTAAGCATGTACTATAGACCAGACCCTTAGTCCTCCCTCCAGTCTGGAAAGTAGATGATAATATTCTAATTCTGCTATTAAGAAAATGGAGACAGATGAGCTAAATAACTTACCTAAGATGACAAGCTGGTAAGAATGCACCCTGAATCTCTGACAACAAGCTATTGCTTTTCCCACTATACTCTGCTATATACAAAACTGTAGTTTTATATACCCAGCCATCTTGTGAATGAATGGGAGGACTCCAATGTAAAGGATTCCTGCAGTATAATAGTCTTTTTGGGGAATGCATTTAAAAATAATGCACATTATTTCATGACCAAGAACCCAAAAGCAAATGCAATAAAAACAAAGATAAATCTCGGGGACCTAATTAAACTAAAGAGCTTTTGCACGGAACAGTCAGCAGAGTAAACAGACAGTCCACAGAATGAGAGAAAATCTTCACAATCTATACATCTGACAAAGGACTAATATCCAGAATCTATAACAAACAAACAAATCAGTGAGAAAAAAACAAATAATCCCATCAAAAAGTGGGCTAAGGACATGAATAGACAATTCTCAAAAGAAGATATACAAATGACCAAAAAACATGAACAAATGCTCAACATCACTAATGATCAGGGAAATGCAAATCAAAACCACAAAACTCATTCCTGCAAGAATGGCCATAATAAAAAAATCAAAACACAGTAGATGTTGGCATGGATGCAGTGAACAGGGAACACCTCTACACTGCTGGTGGGAATGTAAACTAGTACAGCCACTATGGAAAACAGTGTGGAGATTCTTTAAAGAACTAAAAGTAGAACTGCCATTTGATCTAGCAATTCCACCACTGGGTATCTACCCAGAGGAAAAAAAGTCATTATTTGAAAAAAATACTTGCACATGCATGTTTATAGCAGCACAATTCACAATTGCCAAATCATGGAACCAACCCAAATGCCCATGAATCAATGATTGGATAAAGAAACTGTGAGATATATATATATATATGTATGTATATGATGGAATACTATGTAGCCATAAAAAGGAATGAATTAACAGCATTTTCAGTGATCTGAATGAGACTGGAGACTATTATTCTAAGTGAAGTAATTCAGGAATGGAAAACCAAACATCGTATGTTCTCACTGATATGTGGGAGCTAAGCTATGAGGACGCAAAGACATGAGAATGATACAATGGACTTTGGGGACTTGGGAAGAGTAGGAGGGGGGCGAGAGATAAAAGACTACAAATATTGTGCAGTGTATACTGCTTGAGTGATGGGTGCACCAAAATCTCACAAATCACCACTGAAGAGCTTACCTGTGTAATCAAACACCACCTGTTCCCCAATAACTTAAGGAAAAATGAAAAGGTATGAGCAATGTTGAAAAAAATGCACATTATGCTGTTATTTGTTTCTTATAAATTTGATTTTTTTATGTTAATTTAAGGGAACTATATCTCTAGCAATATTACTAGTATTATTTTTTAAAATAAGGTTTTTATATATAAATATATATAATACTATATAATATGTTTGGTCCTTTATGCACACAATTTCATTTAATTATTATAATAATCATACGTAAATGCATGTATTATCCTCATTTACAAATAGGAAAAATAAAGTGCAGTGAGATTAAAATACTTGTCCAAGGATACCCAGTCAGTATGTTGGAACACTGTGAATGCTTTTTCCCACCATAATATGTCATCTTTATGATTATTTTTAAAGACAAATTGCTTATTTTTGAAAAAAGTGCCAATGATATCTCAAGTTAGTGTAAATATCTGTGTTTAAACTATGAAAACCAAATTGTGCTACTTGTCAGTCTCTGAAGATAATTTTATATGGTAGAGCTGATACTCTTTGGTTAGATAAAAATCACTAATGCGAATATTGTATAATACAGAACAGCATGTACTGAGGAGTCCTATTTGTTTTAACCTTAACTTTTTCTCAAATCTTATTGGTTCATAGAACAATTATGGGAACTTCTAGAATGATAAAAATATTGCCTGTGATATTGTGATATAATAAGAAATACATATTTGATCTTCATCCCCAGTTCCCAGCACAGAGCTCCTAAAACCCTTACAATAGCCTAAGTGTCGGAGGTGCTAGGAGCATTTTTTGTTCTAAAATTTGGTCTTTGACCTTGGTTTCTGACCAAGAGCTTTTAAATCTTTTGAAATTTCCTGGGTGATAGAAGCATCTTTTGTCCAAATGAGGTGACTCTTGATGGGATCCTAGATAGGGCTGGTCACCAGGAGGCCAAGCCATGATTAGAAGCTTTGAACTTTCAGCCCAACACCTATCCTCCAAGAAATGAAGACCACTGGAGATTAAGTTAATAATTGATCATGATGCTATGATGAAGCCTCCATAAAAATTCCTAAACTATGGGATTCTGAGAGTTTCCAGGCTGGTGAACACATCCACATGCTGAGAGAGTGGTGTACCCCAATTCTTTGAGGGACAGAAGTCCCTGTGCTCTGGGGTCTTCTAGAGCTTATCCTATGCACCTCTTCATCTGGCTGTTCATCTGTATCCTTTACAATGAACCTGTAAATGGAAGTAAGTGTTTTCCTGAGTTCTGTGAGCCATCACAGCAAATTATTTAACCCAAGGAAGGGGTCAAGGGGACCTCCAATTTGCAGCCAAGTTGGACAGAAGTGTGGTTACCCACTACTTGCAATTGGTATCTGAAGTCCAGTCTTTTGAGACTGAGCCCTTAACCCACAGTGTCTGCACTAATTCCAAGTAAGTAGTATCATAATTGAATTTAGGATATCCAGTTGGTGTGTGAAGAGTAAGAGATCAGGTTGGTGTGAGATACACCCCCGCACCTGGTGTCAGTAGACTGTAGTAGAAAAGAAAACATTTTGTTTTTCCTGTACACTAAAAATAAGTTGCAATAATCACCAAGTTTTATTTTAATATTAGGAAGAAAAAACATTATTTTAGATATTTTTTGTCATTAAATATACTACTCTAAAGATCTTGACTTTCTATAATAAAAAATAAATTTTGACATGAAATTTGCAGCCTTTTAAGAAGATATTGTCAATCATTCTCCTGGCTTCTTCAGCCATTACAATTTAAGAATCAAATAGAAGAGAAATTTTTTCAGATGACAGAAATGTAGGAACATATGTGACATATACCATTGTGACTTACTGCTGAACTTGTTGAGGAAAAACATTTCTACTAACAAATTCTTATAGAAATAAATACTTCTTTCACTAAATTCTTTACAATGAGACTGGAGAGGTAGATGATGAATATTCTGATTTTTTTCAACCTATCATGGTATTGTTCTGAGGATTGCTGGATGCAAGGAATTCTAATTGTTGTTACCCTTCAGGTGTATACCAGATACAGAGGTAACTTACCTACTTTTATACAGCCTGCATAATGAGTGATGTGGAATAAGAAAGTCAATACATTAGTAACCCAGGGTTTCAATTCTGATACCATGAGTTAATATTCATATGGAGAGGTGGGGCTGGGCAAAGTGGCTCATGCCTGTAATCCCAGCACTTTGGGAGCCTGGAACAGGTAGATCACATGAGGTCAGGAGTTAGAGGCCAGCCTGGCCAATATGGTGAAACACCATCTCTATCAAAAATATAAAAATTAGCCAGGTGTGGTGGCCCACTCCTGTAATCCCAGCTACTTGGGAGGCTGAGGCAGGAGAATCACTTGAACCCAGGAGGTGGATGTTGCAGTGAGCTGAGATCACACAACTGTACTCCAGCCTGGGCGACAGCGCGAAACTCTGTCTCAGTAAAAAAAAAAAAAAAAAAAAAAGAGAAGTGGGCAACTGGTGTTGCGGATGATCTGGTCAGTGGTGGGAGATGTAGAGAAGCTTGGTTAAACAAGCTGTCTTTCATCAGCATCCAGATATCTAAGCTCAGTCCTTTGTCTAATTATTTTCCATATACGTTTGGCCTACAGTATGTTGATTTGGCTTCCATTGCTTGGTAGATCCCTCAGTGAATGAGTGTACTTACAGATAAAGATATGAGAGAGAAATAACTGGTAGGACCCAGTGTCCAGTAACATCTCTGTCATAGCATTCACTGTAATGAAGTGCTCATCTATTATAGAAATTAAGATCTTAGAATCAACATTTTACCTTAAGAGTTTGATGTTTACTAACATTCTTCTTGTAGGGAGAGGGGCAGGGAAAGTGAAGGAGAAAGGGAGTTAAATATAAAAGCAGTTCTCAGGTAGACAACGCAATTTCCTCAGCATATTGTCCTTTCGAAGTCATAAATATTCATAGATGCATATACATCTATGTGTATACACACACGCACAACACACATATGAAAAACAAATATGTGGACTTAGTTACTTGACAAACCATCCAAGAACTGCCTTTTTCTAAGTATAGTGGTCTTATTTTTCCTCCTAAAAACTGGTCTTTCTCTTTCGTGAACTCAGTAGTCTTGTGAGGTAGGATAGTTGTGAAGAGATGTATATTGCAATGCAGGGGACTTTACACAGACATATCATGTGACAAAATGGGGGTTTTGAACATTTCTGGCAGGGGAGAGGTTACTGGATCCTTCAGCATCATCTAGCCCTTCCAAAGTTAGCTTCTTGACAACAGGGATCATACCTTATTAAATTAGTTGCCAGCATTGAGTTTGGAGTCTCAAATCTAATAGATATTCAGAAATGTTGATTGACTTAAGGCATGAGGAATATTTGCAAATTCTAATTTGTGTTATGTGGTAAGTGTAAGGTTTTACATATAAGCTATTCAAAATTACATAAATAGTATTTAGTACATTGTAATAAAACTTGCTTAAAAAGAATATTCTCCAGATAAATTCTCAAGGTCTTTTTAGTCTTTTGAAATTGTAACAAAGCTGGTTTAATTTTTGTTAAAAGGCTCTCTAGTTTCTGTGTGTC
Source organism: Homo sapiens (assembly GCF_000001405.40). Taxonomy (NCBI): domain Eukaryota; kingdom Metazoa; phylum Chordata; class Mammalia; order Primates; family Hominidae; genus Homo; species Homo sapiens. Next base: position 33,101,943 of record NC_000012.12, read on the forward strand.
TTTTTAATAGCATCTTTGGAGTCTTCACTCAACAGAGAGCCAAGATGTCTTTCATCTTCTTAAAGTAAGCAATTTAATGCCTTTAAAATAATACTTCTGGAGTAGACACTATAAGTAAAAAGAAAAATACACATCATGGTGCTTAATTATACTATGATTATTCTGATAGTAAGATAAGGATTGGATATCAGCAACTTAATTTTGGGATAGGAAAATTTGTTTAATGAGAAGTTCTTTATCCCACAATTAGAAAATTATGTAGTTAGATTATGTTTTTAAGACAACACATATTTGTATGATGAAGAGGATCAGTTTCTTTCAATGGTTCCTTAGAAAACCTTTTTTTTTAAATTATGCTTTAAGTTCGGGGTACATGTGCAGGACGTGCAGCTTTGTTACATAGTTATTATACATGTGCCATGGTGGTTTGCTGCACCCATCAACCCATCATCTACATTAGGTATTTCTCCTAATGCTATCCCTCCCCAACTCCCCCACCCCCCAACAGGCCCCAGTGTGTGATGGCCCCCACCCCCAGTGTCCATGTGTTCTAATTGTTCAACTCCCACTTATGAGTGAGAACATGTGATGTTTGGTTTTCTGTTCTTTTGTTAGTTTGTTGAGAATGATGGTTTCCAGCTTCATCCATGTCCCTGCAAAGGACATTAACTAATCCTTTTTTATGGCTGCATAGTATTCCATGGTATATATGTGCCACATTTTCTTAATCCAGTCTATCATTGTTGGACATTTGGGTTGGTTCCAAGTCTTTGCTATTGTGTATAGTGCCACAATAAATATACGTGTGCATGTGTCTTTATAGCAGCATGATTTATAGTCCTTTGGGTATATACCCAGTAATGGGATTGCTGGGTCAAATGGTATTTCTAGTTCTAGATCCCTGAGGAATTGCCACACTGACTTCCACAATGGTTGAACTAGTTTACAGTCCCACCAACAGTGTAAAAGTGTTCCTATTTCTCCACATCCTCTCCAGCACCTGTTGTTTCCTGACTTTTTAATGATTGCCATTCTAACTGGTGTGACATGGTATCTCATTGTGGTTTTGATTTGCATTTCTCTGATGGCCAGTGATGATGAGCATTTTTTCATGTGTTTTTTGGCTGCATAAATGTCTTCTTTTGAGAAGTGTCTGTTCATATTCTTCACCCACTTTTGATGGGGTTGTTTGTTTTTTTCTTGTAAATTTATTTGAGTTCATTGTAGATTCTGGATATTAGCCCTTTGTCAGATGAGTAGGTTGTGAAAATTTTCTCCCATTTTGTAGGTTGCCTGTTCACTGTGATGGTAGTTTCTTTTGCTGTGCAGAAGCTCTTTAGTTTAATTAGATCCCATTTATCAATTTTGGCTTTTGTTGCCATTGCTTTTGGTGTTTTAGACATGAAGTCCTTGCCCATGCCTATGTCCTGAATGGTATTGCCTAGGTTTTCTTCTAGGGTTTTTATGGTTTTAGGTCTAACATGTAAGTCTTTAATCCATCTTGAATTAATTTTTGTATAAGGTGTAAGGAAGGGATCCAGTTTCAGCTTTCTATATATGGCTGGCCAGTTTTCCCAGCACCATTTATTAAATAGGGAATCCTTTCCCCATGGCTTGTTTTTGTCAGGTTTGTCAAAGATCAGATGGTTGTAGATATGTGGCATTATTTCTGAGAGCTCTGTTCTGTTCCATTGATCTAGATCTCTGTTTTAGTACCAGTACCATGCTGTTTTGGTTACTGTAGCCTTGTAGTATAGTTTGAAGTCAGGTAGAATGATGCCTCTGGCTTTGTTCTTTTGGCTCAGGATTGACTTGGCGATGCGGGCTCTGTTTTGGTTCCATATGAACTTTAAAGTAGTTTTTCCCAATTCTGTGAAGAAAGTCATTGGTAGCTTGATGGGGATGGCATTGAATCTATAAATTACCTTGGGCCATATGGCCATTTTCACGATATTGATTCTTCTTACCCATGAGCATGGAATGTTCTTCCATTTGTTTGTATCCTCTTTTATTTCATTGAGCAGTGGTTTGTAGTTCTCCTTGAAGAGGTCCTTCACATCCCTTGTAAATTGGATTCCTAGGTATTTTATTCTCTTTGAAGCAATTGTGAATGGGAGTTCACTCATGATTTGGCTCTCTGTTAGTCTGTTATTGGTGTATAAGAATGCTTGTGATTTTTGTACATTGATTTTGTATCCTGAGACTTTGCTGAAGTTGCTTATCAGCTTAAGGAGATTTTGGGCTGAGACAATGGGGTTTTCTAGATATACAATCATGTCATCTGCAAACAGGGACAATTTGATTTCCTCTTTTCCCAATTGAATACCCTTTATTTCCTTCTCCTGCCTAATTGCCCTGGCCAGAACTTCCAACACTATGTTGAATAGGAGTGGTGAGAGAGGGCATCCCTGTCTTGTGCCAGTTTTCAAAGGGAATGCTTCCAGTTTTTGACCATTCAGTCTGATATTGGCTGTGGGTTTGTCATAGATAGCTCTTATTATTTTGAGATACATCCCATCAATACCTAATTTATTGAGAGTTTTTAGCATGAAGGGTTGTTGAATTTTGTCAAAGGCCTTTTCTGCATCTATTGAGATAATCATGTGGTTTTTGTCTTTGGTTCTGTTTATATGCTGGATTACATTTATTGATTTGTGTATGTTGAACCAGCCTTGCATCCCAGGATGAAGCCCACTTGATCATGGTGGATAAGCTTTTTGATGTGCTGCTGGATTCAGTTTGCCAGTATTTTATTGAGGATTTTTGCATCAATGTTCATCAAGGATATTGGTCTAAAATTCTCTTTTTTTGTTGTGTCTCTGCCAGGCTTTGGTATCAGGATGATGCTGGCCTCATAAAATGAGTTAGGGAGGATTCCCTCTTTTTCTATTGATTGGAATATTTTCAGAAGGAATGGTACTAGCTCCTCCTTGTACCTCTGGTAGAGTTTGGCCGTGAATCCATCTGGTCCTGGACTTTTTTTGTTGGTAAGCTATTAATTATTGCCACAATTTCAGAGCCTGTTACTGGTCTATTCAGAGATTCAACTTCTTCCTGGTTTAGTCTTGGGAGGGTGTATGTGTCGAGGAATTTATCAATTTCTTCTAGATTTTCTAGTTTATTGGTGTAGAGGTGTTTGTAGTATTCTCTTATGGTAGTTTGTATTTCTGTGGGATCGGTGGTGATATCCCTTTTATCATTTTTTATTGCATCTATTTGATTCTTCTCTATTTTCTTCTTTATTAGTCTTGCTAGCGGTCTATCAATTTTGTTGATCCTTTCAGAAAACCAGCTCCTGGGTTCATTAATTTTTTGAAGGTTTTTTTGTGTCTGTATTTCCTTCAGTTCTGCTCTGAATTTAGTTATTTCTTACCTTCTGCTAGCTGTTGAATGTGTTTGATGTTGCTTTTCTAGTACTTTTAATTGTGATGTTAGGGTGTGAATTTTAGATCTTTCCTACTTTCTCTTGTGGGCATTTAGTGCTATAAATTTCCCTCACACACTGCTTTGAATGTGTCCCAGAGATTCTGGTAGGTTGTGTCTGTGTTCTTGTTGGTTTCAAAGAACATCTTTATTTCTGCCTTCATTTCATTATGTACCCAGTATTCATTCAGGAGCAGGTTGTTCAGTTTCCATGTAGTTGAGTGGTTTTGAGTGAGTTTCTTAATCCTGAGTTCTAGTTTGATTACACTGTTGTCTGAGAGACAGTTTGTTGTAATTTCTGTTCTTTTACATTTGCTGAGGAGTGCTTTACTTCCACCTATGTGGTCAGTTTTGGAATAGGTGTGGTGTGGTGTGGTGCTGAAAAAAATGTATATTCTGTTGATTTGGGGTGGAGAGTTCTGTAGATGTCTATTAGGTCCACTTGGTTCTGAGTTAAATTCCTGGGTATCCTTGTTAACTTTCTGTCTCGTTGATCTGTCTAATGTTGACAGTGGGGTGTTAAAGTCTCCCATTATTAATGTGTGGGAGACTAAGTCTCTTTGTAGGTCACTAAGGACTTGCTTTATGAATCTGGGTGCTCCTGTATTGGGTGCATATATATTTAGGATAGTTAGCTCTTCTTGTTGAATTGATCCCTTTACCATTAAGTAATGGCTTTCTTTGTCTCTTTTGATCTTTGTTGGTTTAAAGTCTGTTTTATCAGAGACTAGGATTGCAACCCCTGCCTTTTTTTGTTTTCCATTTGCTTGGTAGATCTTCCTCCATCCCTTTATTTTGAGCCCATGTGTGTCTCTGCATGTGAGATGGGTTTCCTGAATACAGCACACTGATAGGTCTTGACTCTTTAGCCAATTAGCCAGTCTGTGTCTTTTAATTGAAGCATTTAGCCTATTTACATTTAAAGTCAATATTGTTATGTGTGAGTTTGGTCCTGTCATTATGATGTTAGCTGGTTATTTTGCTCGTTAGTTGATGCAGTTTCTTCCTAACCTTGATGGTCTTTACATTATGGCATGATTTTGCAGTGGCTGGTACCGGTTGTTCCTTTCCATGTTTAGTGCTTCCTTCAGGAGCTCTTTTAGGGCAGGCCTGGTGGTGACAAAATCTCTCAGCATTTGCTTGTCTGTAAAGGATTTTATTTCTCCTTCGCTTGTGAAGCTTAGTTTGGCTGGATATGAGATTCTGGGTTGTAAATTCTTTTCTTTAAGAATGTTGAATATTGGCCCCCACTCTCTTCTGGCTTGTAGAGTTTCTGCTGAGAGATTCGCTGTTTGTCTGATGTGCTTCCCTTTGTGGGTAACCCGACCTTTCTCTCTGGCTGCCCTTAACATTTTTTCCTTCATTTCAACTTTGGTGAATCTGACAATTATGTGTCTTAGTGTTGCTCTTCTCGAGGAGTATCTTTGTGGCGTTCTCTGTATTTTCCAAATTTGAATGTTGGCCTGCCTTGCTAGATTGGGGAAGTTCTCCTGGATAATATCCTGCAGAGCATTTTCCAAGTTTTTTCCATTCTCCCCATCACTTTCAGGTACACCAATCAGACGTAGATTTGGTCTTTTCACATAGTCCCATATTTCTTGGAGGCTTTGTTCATTTCTTTTTATTCTTTTTTCTTTTTTCTCTAAACTTCCTTTCTCACTTCATTTCATTCATTTCGTCTTCCATCACTGATACCCTTTCTTCCAGTTGATCGCATCGGCTCCTGAGGCTTCTTCATTCTTCATGTAGTTCTCGAGCCTTGGTTTTCACCTCCATCAGCTTCTTCAAGGACTTCTCTGCATTAGTTATTCTAGTTAGCCATTCGTCTATTTTTCTTTCAAAGTTTCTAACTTCTTTGCCATTGGTTTGAATTTCCTCCTGTAGCTCAGAGTAGTTTGATCGTCTGAAGCCTTCTCCTCTCAACTCATCAAAGTCATTCTCCATCCAGCTTTGTTCCGTTGCTAGTGATGAGCTGCGTTCCTTTGGAGGAGGAGAGGCACTCTGCTTTTTAGAGTTTCTGGTTTTTCTGCTCTGTTTCTTCCCCATATTTGTGGTTTTATCTACTTTTGGTCTTTGATGATGGTGATGTACAGATGGGTTTTTGGTGTGGATATCCTTTCCGTTTGTTAGTTTTCCTTGTAACAGTCAGGACCCTCAGCTGCAGGTCTGTTGGACTTTGCTAGAGGTCCACTCCAGACCCTGTTTGCCTGGGTGTCAGCAGCGGTGGCTGCAGAGCAGCGGTGGCTGTAGAACAGCAGATTTTGGTGACCCGTAAATGCTGCTGCCCGATCATTTCTCTGGAAGTTTTGTCTCAGAGGAGTCCCCAGCCGTGTGAGGTGTCAGTCTGCCTCTACTGGGGGATGTCTCCCAGTTAGGGTGCTCGGGGGTCAGGGACCCACTTGAGGAGGCAGTCTGCCCATTCCCAGGTCTCCAGCTGCATGCTGGGAGAACCACTACTCTCTTCAAAGCTGTCAGACAGGGACATTTAAGTCTGCAGAGGTTACTGCTGTCTTTTTGTTTGTCTGTGCCCTGCCCCCAGAGGCAGACCCTACAGAGGCAGGCAGGCCTCCTTGAGCTGTGGTGGGCTCCACCCAGTTCGAGCTTCCTGGCTGCTTTGTTTACCTAATCAAGCCTGGTCAATGGCAGGCGCCCCTCCCCCAGCCTTGCTGCAACCTTGCAGTTTGATCTCAGACTGCTGTGCTAGCAATCAGTGAGACTCTGTGGGCGTAGGAGCCTCTGAGCCATGTGCAGGATATAATCTCCTGGTGTGCCGTTTTTTACGCCTGTTGGAAAAGCGCCGTATTAGGGTGGGAGTGACCTGATTTTCCAGGTGCCATCTGTCACCCCTTTCTTTGACTAGGAAAGGGAACTCCCTGACCCCTTGCACTTCCCAAGTGAGGCAGTGCCTCCCCCTGCTTTGGTTCATGCACAGTGTACTGCACCCACTGTCCTGCACCCACTGTCTGGCACTCCCTAGTGAGATGAACCTGGCACCTCAGATGGAAATGCAGAAATCACCCATCTTCTGCGTCGCTCACGCTGGGAGCTGTAGACTGGAGCTGTTCCTATTTGGCCATCTTGGCTCCACCCCTCAACATTCTTAAAGTAAATAATTTTTAACCCAGAATCTCATATCCAGCCAAACTAAGCTTCATAAGTGAAGGAGAAGTAAAATCCTTTACAGACAAACAAATGCTGAGAGATTTTGTCACCACCAGGCCTACCTTACAAGAGCTCCTGAAGGAAGCACTAAACATGGAAAGGAGCAACCGGTACCAGCCACTGCAAAAACATACCAAACTGTAAGGACCATTGACACTATGAAGAAACTGCATCAATTAATGGGCAAAATAACCGCTAGCATCATAATGACAGCATCAAATTCACACATAACAATATTAACCTTAAATGTGAATGGGCTATATGCCCCAATTAAAAGACACAGACTGGCAAATTGAACAGAGTCAAGACCCATCTGTGTGCTGCATTCAGGAGACCCATCTCACATGCAAAGAAACACATAGGCTCAAAAAGAAGGGATGGAGGAATATTTACCAAGCAAATGGAAAGCAAGAAAAAGCAGGGGTTGCAATCCTAGTCTCTGATAAAACAGACTTTAAACCAACAAAGTTCAAAAGAGGCAAAGAAGGGCATTACATAATGGTAAAGGAATCAATGCAACAAGAAGAGCTAACTATCCTAAATATATATGCACCCAATACAGGAACACCGAAATTCATGAAGCAAGTTCTTAGAGACCTACAAAGAGACTTAGACTCCCACACAGTAATAATGGGAGACTTTAACACCCACTGTCAATATTAGACAGATCAATGAGACAGAAATTTAACAAGGATATCCAGGACTTGAACTCATCTCTGGACCAAGCAGACCTAATAGACATCTACAGAACTCTCCACTCCAAATCAACAGAATATACATTCTTCTCAGCACCACATCTCACTTATTCTAAAATTGACCACATAATTGGAAGTAAACACTCCTCAGCAAATGCAAAAGAACAGAAATCACAACAAACAGTCTCTCAGACCACAGTGCAATCAAATTAGAACTCAGGATTAAGAAACTCACTCCAAACTGCACAACTACATGGAAACTGGACAACCTGCTCCTGAATGACTACTGGGTAAACAATGAAATTCAGGCACAAATAAAGATGTTCTTTGAAACCAATGAGAACAAAGACACAACGTACTAGAATCTCTGGGACACATTGAAAGCAGTGTGTAGAGGGAAATTTATAGCACTAATTGCCCACAAGAGAAAGCAGGAAGGATCTAAAATCAGCACCCTAACATCACAATTGAAAGAACTAGAGAATCAAGAGCAAACAAATTGAAAAGCTAGCAGAATACAAGAAATAACTAAGATCGGGGCAGAACTGAAGGAGATAGAGAAAAAAAAACCCCTCCTTAGACAATCTCGTAAGTCTAAGAGCTTATTGGCAATTTCAATTGTCTATTTACTTGTCTTATACCCTTCTAGACTTGAGAGTGGGGACTGGTCTTGTTAACCATTTGTCCCTTGCAGCTAATATAGTAAACAATATATAAAAGTTACAGATATTAGCTATTTGGAAACTATTTTGAACTAAAAATTGCTACAGATTGACATTTCAACTATTGAAATGGCTGAATAGCCATAGCAATTTTTTTTCACGTATTACTGGATTAAGTATAAAGCAGAACATTCAAGATTTTCATGCCATTGTAAATGTTCTTTTACTTTTCGATCAATAGGATTCTCATATCAGGGTTGATCTAGTTTTTCATATTCTTGTAAACCATTTTAGGCAATGCCTCACCAGTAAAAACCTACTCTTCTTTCTTTTGGCTTTAGAGCTATTTATTATAGATTTTTCAATCCAAAAATGCAGAAATCAACAGGAGCCTCATAACTGGCTAATTCTCAGGACAACAGGTAAAACCACTTCTTTTTTTATTTATTACTGTTCAATTGGTGTTTGTGTGAAGCAAATGATTATGAGCAGTGTGTAATGCTGAGGGAAAGAGGAGTTATTGGTAATTTTTGGAGCATTAAGAGCTTCAAGAGCTTCTGAGAGAGATGTGCCTCCAATTTAGTTTCATAGGTTTTGAAATCTGTTCACTAATTAGTATGCAATTTTCTTAAAATTTTTTATCACCTCACAGAGAAGGCAAAATCATGAACATCACAACAAGCCTGAGAGCACTGTAAGTCACTGTCTGTTAGCAGCCTCCACAGACACATTCACAAACATACCCAAGTTGTTGTGGGATTCATACATACCCATAATGAGAGTGAAATCGTGAAGAACAATGAACGAAACATAAAATAACTGCGAAAGGGTTACTGATACTATTTTGTAGAACCCAGAGATGATGGAAAGAGAGAAAAAGGTATATACATCCAGCATGAATGCTATAAATAACATTAATTTAGATGTTGGTGTTTGCTAGTGAAGATAAAGTCTGCAAATGAATAATTTTTATGAAACTTAATGTGAACATTGATTTGTAGGCATGTGTTTCAATTCCAAAAAGTAAAAAGTTAGAATTCTTTATTGATGAAATATACAAATTATACTATAGTATCCTCCTAATTGATTTTAAAACATGCTATGCATTAATTTTAAATATATGAAAAAAATTACTGTACATAATTCCCAAATTTTAAATTCTTAGTATTTTTCATGCAAAATATATATACAACACAATGTTGCTCAAGAGAAAATGTTGCATCATTGAACCCACTTTAAAGATAAAAAATAGAAGGCGTTTTTGAGTGTGTTGGTGTTTTTCATTTCTGAACAAGTTTAGAATGGGTGAAATGAAGTGCGTTTTGGTGAGTGACTGGCATATAGATTTAATATGGTCTATGGAAGATTAAAAAAAATGAAAGCTTCTGTGTTAAGGATGGTTTCTTAACTATTTATGTCAAAATTAACTGGGCATTTGCCTTAATTATATTTTTCTTCTTATGGTGCAGAATAATTCTTAACTTTAATTTCTTGGTGAAAACTAGGTATTTAGTACTATAGTCTGTTATTTAAAGCATTTACAAGAAATCAATTTCTCACCACTCAGGATTTCAGAATGACTTTGTTTTTATTTATAAATTATACATTTTATTATTTGAAAATATTATTAAAATAGTGTTTGTTGTGAAGAACAAAATGATGTAAGGGTATATAAAGCGAAAGCTTAAACTCTCCAAAACTCTTCCAACCTAAAGCAGTCATACTTTCTAGAAGAAATGACTTTTATAGAATGAATGGATCCTTCAAGGAATTTTCCTATAAAATTGTTTTTCGGGGGGCATTATTTTTCTATAAATAGGGATCATGGCATCTTTCCATAGGACTGTATTATTTCAATGCAATTGCCATTTCAAAAAAGAAACAGCCTGTGAGTTTGACAATTTTTGGCTCAGATTTCTTGGATATTAAATGTGTTAATTAAGACTTTATTGGCTACAAAGACAGAAAACTCAATTCAGATTATTACAAAAAGAGATTTTTATTGACTCATAAAATTGAAATTCCGGAATAGATGCAATTTCAGGTTCACCTTAACTCGGGGGCTCAAATGACAGCATTGTGTTATTTCTTTTATAATGCGCCCTTCAGCTCTAAATGTTGGTTACATTTTCTGACAGGCATAGCTCCATAGCGGTAGGAGGGCGGCAGCAGCCCATGCCTTTGAATTACAATGCAGTTGTAAAAATGCGGTGCAGTGGTGAAAAACATTCTTCAAGTGTAGCAGTGAAAAACATCCAAATGCAATAGTGAAGAATATTCATTTCCAGAATTGAATTCTATTGGTACTGATTAGCCTGACTTGGGTCACATACCCATTTGTATTAGTTCACTAGGACTGCCATAAAAAATGCCACAGACTGTGTTCTTCTGAAGCCCATCTCTTTGGCTTGCTTATGCATTGTGTCCTTACATGGTCATTCCTCTGTGTGTTCGTGTACTAATCACCTTTTTAAATAAGGATGCCAGTCATAATAAATTAGGGCCCATCTTAATGACCTCATTTAACCTTAATTACTTTAAAAGGCCCATCTTTAAATGCAGTGACTTTCTGCGGTACCGAGGGTTAAGACTTCAACACGTGAATTTTGAGGGGCTACAGTTGAACCAGGATAAATTCCTACAAAGCCATTGTCACCAGGGGCTCATCCTAGGTCATATGTTACTTCTGGATTCAGCAGGAGAGTCAGGTGGACTGAAATAGAGAGGTGTGGGTCCCCAAGTGAAAACTGGCCACTGCCATGAGCATTAGGGTAAATGGATTCTTGCCAACCCAAACAAAACTATGTCCATTTCACTAAGAAAATACAGAAAAGGATTATAATATCAGTAGCAGTTATTTTGTGACAAATTACTGATGAATAAATAGTAAAGGAAGAAATAGGTTATTGAATTAAACTTTACATTTTCACTTCACAAGAGAGAAAAATATTTTTTTTTTTGAGTTGGAGTTTTGCTCTTGTCTCCCAGGTGAGTGCAATGGCACAATCTTGGCTAACTGCAACCTCCGCTTCCCAGGTTCACATGATTCTCCTGCCTCAGCCTCCCGAGTAGCTGGGATTAAAGGTGCCTGCCATCATGCCTGGCTAATTTTTGTATTTTTAGTAGAGATGGGGTTTTGCCATGTTGGCCAGTCTGGTCTCAAACTTCTGACCTCAGGTGATCTGCCTGCCTTGGCCTCCCAAAGTGCTGGGATCACAGGCATGAGCCACCGCCCCAGGCCGAAAAACATTATTCTTAAGAAAGGGGCAAAGTAGCAGAGTCACCAAAAGCACTTTCAACAAAGAAAGACAATAACCTGGGAATATGTCCGTTCTGTTATCTGTCTTAAACTTAGAGTAATCGAGCATTTTAGACTAGGGAAAAAGTAGCAATTAATATGGGGCTTTCTATAATGAGATATGACCTTGTTTATCTCGTTTATTTTATTTTTGGAAATACATGATTTTTTCTCCATAAATATAATCTTTTCTAATCCCTCACTTACAAAATAACACAAACAAAATGAGCAAAACCTCCTAATACTCAGAGAAAGGAGCACAATAGAACAGAAAGCATTATTGGTGTCAAAATTTGGAAAGACTTAAATATTATAATATCCAAAGATCATGGCAAGCAGCACAACACATTTTTGACCAAATTAAAGATGATATCAGGAGCCAACACCCACATCTCCAGCTCCTAATAATATAATTTAATATGCTTAATAGACATGTCATAAAGATGTTTATACCACAGAAGCTTCACCTTTCTTTGCAAGTCCATATGAACCTACAAAGAAAATCTCAATAAATTCTAGAAAGTAGAAAACCATAATCTCTTAATATAATTTAGTAAAACTAAATATACCTAGCAAAAGTAAAAACAAATGAAACAGTAACTTTAACCAACTCTTAGGTCAAATAGAAAATAAAAACTGAAATTGTAGAATATTTTGAAAGCAAACTACATATAAAATCTAAGGAAAAGAGAGTAATAATTATTCAGTATACAATATTGAAAATTCCATATAAAGTATTGAAAAAATGTGTTCAAGAAAGCAAAAGAAAGGAGTGAATAAAGATTAAAACATAAATTAATAAATTAGAAATACAAAAATAGTAGAACTGCTATGTCCAGGAGATTTAATACAATAATAACAAAATAAACCTATTCAAATAGGTACCTTTCCACTTAGCCTCTTCGAGGGAGTGGTGGGAAGAGGGGAAAGCATAAATACATACACTTCTGGGTGAGGACAGGGAATGAACCACCAGTATAGACATAGTTAATGGGGCTACAAGAAAATGGTTTTCAAAATCTATGTTAATAGATATAAAAAGCTCCTTGAAATGGATGATTTCCCAGGAAATATGTTACCCAAATTAACTCCTAAATGGAGAAAAAAATCAAAACACTCAATAGCCAAGAAGAAAATCAGAAAGTTGTCAAGAAAACCACTACCTTCATCACCATCTACCATTTTTAAAAACAGAGACTTTGCATGTCTACAGTGTTCTAGGAGCCATATTTCTCATCTATAACATTGATATATTTGATATATTGGGGTTTGTTTTATCTGGTCTAGATATTTTAATTGGTTTAAAACATTTATTTTTTGATTAACACCCTCTTGTCTCTGGAATACAATGTCTGGTTTGAAAATTGTTATTAATCACACAGTCTAGAATCACCTTGCTGAAGGGAAAGTTGTTATTCAATTACTCCATTTCCAAATTAGGAAATTATCTCTTTAATTATGATTATCAAGCAAACTAGAGGTAGAGCAAGCACTAGAAAAAGCTGATTACATATTCAGAGTAGAAGATGTAGGAAAAAGTTGCTTTGCCAGGTGTTGGATGATGAGAAAGTTGCTATTATGTAGTAATTCAAAGACAGGCTCTCCCATAAGTACTTTAACCTTAGTTAACAGTCTGAAGTGTTTTCAGGTTCTTATTGCTTTAAAACAGAGTAAGGAAGCAAATGTGTAAAACTACTTTAAAAACTTTCTGAGTTAGTAAAAATATGATCTGAGGAGGTTGCTTTTAAAATTAGAGCTGAGGGTAACAGATATCTCGAAAGTTGCAAAGTTGAGCAAATATACAATAATTTAAAAGTGGTCCCCGAGGATTCCCAAGGGCATTATTTTTATGAAAAAATGGAATGATCAGTGTACAGCCTAGGTAAATAATAATGCTATATCCTGACATCACTGCACCATCAAAGTTGCCAAGAAAAGCAAGCTAGGAGGTAACTGCTGTATTTCCAAAAGATGAAAATGTTAAAGGTGTTTCAGAGATCTGTGGAAGTTATTTTTATTCATCAGAGAGATGCATTGATGAGGTGGTTTCATTGAATTAGTATTCTCCAAGAACCAGGTCCTTCAAGATTTAGAACACCATGCGTGAGGACTTTGACTTCTTGTCTCCTGTTTTCTCTTCTGACAAAGACTATGTTTTAGGACTGGGCCAAAAATCCTGTGAAGGTCAACCTTTGGTTGCACAAGTAAATCAGTATTATCCATAGATCTGGAAGAACTTTAACATTTTCTTGTAAGTTCCATGAGGCTAGGGAGTTTTGCTTTTTTTGCTCGGTGTTATATTCCTGTGCCCATAACAGTGTCTATCACATAAGGCACATTCAAGAAACATTCATTAAATGAATAAACACACTATTTCTCTAATATTACTCACTTTTTATTTCACGTGTTTCATTTAGGTTCCTGTCGTCTCTTGCCTGGGTTATCACAGCAGCCTTCAATCTAATTTCCTTGACTGCATTTTATCCCTACCTTTTATCATCATCTTTTAATCTAAAGCCACATCTAAAATGTAATGCTGATCTTGGTACTTTCTAGTCTAAAACACTTCATGTGTTCTCACCATCAATTGCAGGATCAAGCTAAAGGTTTTTAAGATGATATATGAGGTCCTCCATGATCTGACCTTAATCCCCTCTCCATTTATCTGTCAGCACTCTCTTTCTCACACTTATGTTCAGTTTATTCTATTGTTTTCTACACATACCAGAGGTTTTTCCCTTTACTCATTTCCTTCTGCCTGTTTTACCTCTGCTTGGAATGTGCATCCCCCACATACCTTTAAGATTCAGAATAGGAGTGTTCCCCTGTAAAATATAACAATTCGGTCTCTTTCTTTACCCTCTGGCTGGGTTACTTGTCGAATTCAGGGCACCCATGGTAACTTAGGAATACTTCTATTGTAAAACTTTCCACATTGCACTGTGATGCCCTTCACAATAAATGGGAATTAGCAGGTTTCAGAAATTTATTGGTTTACTTTGTAGATGTAAGGGAAGAAAAAATCTTATGACTGGGGGTAGAGGGGGGCATGCTCAAGATGGAGAGAATATATACTCTATCCACACTGTTTTGTACAAAAGATTTTGGCCTAAGAACTTTATCCTCCTTAATTAAAAAAATTAAAACTAAAAGAAAACAGTTCTATCCCCTTCCCCCAACAACAACAAAAAGGAAACACCGGTTGCAGGCTGAGAGGAAGAAACAAATGCAGCTTGGTGGAGAAAATTACTCTGGTTGCAGGTAGGGAGAAGGCAGGTGATCTCATCTATGCAGAATGTCATGAAGGTGACAGCTCACTTTGGGATACAAAGTGGCTGTGTTTCACAATTTAAGTGCTCATGGTGTGTAAAGTGGTCATGTGAATCCCACATAGATCTCATCTATTCTGGACCTAAGAAAATGTTTAGTGAGAATAACAGAGGGATCTACTCTTAACATTTCAGACCTCTCTCTGCTTCCTCTGAGCCTTTTGGTTTGCTTGAACCCTTGACGGAATTTAGATACTTGTTGCTTGATAACATCTTGAATTTGTTTCAACAGTGTGGCAATTCATGGATGTTTCTGGTTGCCTAATAAATATTTATTCTGTCTTTTTTTTTACTAACGGAACCCTGGTTTTTACATACCCTTATAGAGTGGTGGGTGTGTAACGCAGGTGTGGCCAATGAAAGAGAAAGTAATAATTTTGGATGGGGCTTCCAGAAAGGTCTTTTAAAAGAGATAGACTTGGGTGGCTTGTCTTTTTAGTTTGCTTCTTTAATTTTTAATTTTTGAACACTTGCCAGTCTTCCTAACTGAATGCAATCATTGGTATTATGAGCATGAGTGAAATGGACACAGGCTAAGTCTTGTGTTGCTGAAAGTTAGAAAAGCCTGGGTCACTGATGGCTTTTTGGAGCCATAGTATTATCCCTATGCTTCTCATTTTGTGGAAAAAAATGTTATTCATCCCCTTCAATGTATTAAAGCTATCACTATTCATGAAGCAGAATCTATCCCTAATTGATACACTCTTTTAATGTTATTAGAGAGAAACTCTAGAACAGGTGACTTTTACATGTTGGACAACACTTTAAACTGTCTTTTGGTTAGGGAATGTAGGCCAGAGGTCTCATATTGTTGGGTTAGGGCTGCAGCAATGAAAATAAAATAACTTTATGTAATAAATAACGCAATACCAGGAGTTTAGGAGTGAGCTTAAGATGTGTGGGGAGACAACAGAACGAGGAAGAAGTGGAGTTACAGAGAAGGGCCACCTGCAGAGAAGGGTCCTACAGCAACATGGCAGCAACATGGACCATGATGGGGAGAGTATTCAAAAGGAAAAAAACACAACAAAACAACAAAAAAACTTGTAGAGGGAAAGGAAGAGGGACTTCAGAAACAGAGATAGCTAATATTACATTTTACATTGTTGCTTTTTCTACACACATTTCCTTCTTTTAACCCAATAATTTTAGTAAAATTCTCTGTTTTTCTGAGAGTGATAAAAGACAGGGCAAACATCTATTTTGGGATCAGCTATGAAGGAGGAGAATAGGTGTGTGCGTGGGGTGCAAATTATTATGAAAGTGTGATAAAAATTTCAGATAAAGCAGGGAATCAGAGTGAGAGGCATATGAGAGAACACAATCCTTTGATAATCCTCTAAGAAAAAAGTTAGGACTCCTTAGTCCCCCAGACTTCTTGGTGTATGAAGAAAGGGCTTGCTGAGATATTAAAGGAGAAAGTCCATGACCCTACAATGTTGAAGAACTTGGGAAGTTGTGGGTGATGAATACTTGGGTTCTATAGAAGAAAAGTTGCATATTTTCCCTAGAGTTTTTCTGGGGTGCACTAATCATCAGACCAGATGCTTCCATTTAGGCAAGTCAGCACCATGGGAAAAGACTTTCTCGTAACTTTCACAGAGTGTCTCTAAAGCTGCTAAATTGGCAGTCTGTCCTGAATTATTTTTGCTTAATAACCCAAGGTACCATGTTTTGTAGAAAAGCTATTCATTTTTCCCATGAGAAACCCACTGACATTCTAGAAAATCTGAGTAATACTGCTTTTGGGTATGGTCACTGATTTGTGGTGGCCTCTGAAGTAGAAAGTCAAGAAAACCTACAGATTACTTTTAAAGGAAAAGTGTAACATTTAGCTAATTGTATTTGGATGTATTTGAACTCTTCACTTTTTCCCAGAAAAGAGTCTTCAACTGACTGACTGAAGAGTGTCATTACTGCTGTTATGTCTCATCTGCATTCTACGTTGCATATTTCTGCATAATATTCACTTATTGAAACTTCATAGTAATTTAGTCCTCTATAAAATATCTGAGACTGCTGTGGTGAAAACTTTGTTTTTTGTTTGTTGTTTGTTTTTTTTTTTGAGGCAGAGTTTTGCTCTTGTCGCCCATGCTGGAGTGCAGTGGTGTGATTTCAGCTCGCTGCAACCTCCACCTCATGGGTTCAAGTGATTCTCCTGCTTCAGCCTCCCGAGTAGCTGGTATTACAGGTACCTGCCACCATGTCAGGCTAATTTTTTGTATTTTTAGTAGAGATGGGGTTTTGCCATGTTGGCCAGTCTGGTCTTGAACTCTTGACCTCAGGTAATCTGCCCATCTCAGCCACCCACAGAGCAGGGATTACAGGTATGAGCCACCATGCCTAGCCAGTTTGTTGTTTTTCTTTTAAATTTCTCTAATATTTACACTTTTGTCATACAGGGTCCAATGAGGAGTCAGAATGCACTCTTAAGAACTTCAAGCATAAGCAGTTAATGCAGAAAATTAGGCCTTACAGATCATTTAGATGTAGTGGAATCCTCAGGGCTTCCACTAGATTTTTGGCTTGAGTCAATCCACCAAAGTTGTGATCCAGAGGTCATGTTGTGTGGCCTTTGGCAGCCCTATGCCATACATTTGGATGAATAGACTATAGGAAGTGGAGTCTGCCAGTGCAGTGCTCACATCTGTTAGAACTTGCTTATAGGCCAGCACTGCCACAGAGTGATATCTCCACCCATCTTTGGCTTTCCAAATTGCACGGGAACCAATCTCATTAACAGAATATAAAGTGCCCTCATATTCATAGCCATGTGTGACAGGTGCCAATAGATGTGATCTAGCAAACTTCCTTTGGAGTTTCAGGAAATTTATGGTTCAAGCTCTAAGGTACAATCAATCTCATTGCTTTTGAGCAGGTAAAGAATTACTGTTATGGATGGTTCTCCCTGGGGTATTTACCATTAGCACAAAATTCAGTGCAAAACTAGGAATAACATATATTAGGTCCCCTCAAACCTTCAGTGGTCAATGTTCCTAATATTCTATGTATTCTTAATTATCACAAAAGAAAAAATATACCTTTACAATGGAAATTCTGGTGGTCATCAACTTGACAAGTGTTCACACTTAGCCACACTAATGGAGGGACAACTTAACCTTATACGCTTTCTGTTGGGGTGCTAGGAGAGGTACGCTACATCACTGCTCGTATTTTTGCCAAAATGAACCTGAATGTATTTAGGAGGCAAGAGACAGATCCAGAATTTGGGAACTTTACAAGATAATTGCCAGGACATTCAATAAACGCTTATATCTTGAAAAACTATCAAACCAACCAACCAGCCAACTAACCAACCAACCAACCAACCAACCAACCAACCAACCAACCAACAGGTAAGATAATGTTCTACATTTAAAGAGACTGAAAAGTCATAACCACAAAAAGCCCATACAACTTGATTGAATTCTGAATTTGAAACATATGTTTGCGTGTGTGTGTGTGTGTGTGTGTGTGTGATATGTGTGTGTGTGTGTGATATATGTGTGTGTATGTCATTGGTACACTTCTATAGATTTGGATATGGGTAGTTTACTGGATATTATAGAATTATGGTTCTTTTTTTTAGAAGTAATGATGGTCTATGATTATGTAGGAGATGCATGTTGTAGTCTTTGGGGTGAAGGGTCATGATGTGTACAACTTACTTTTAAGTGGTTTCACAAAATAAAGCATACAGACACACACAGAAAGTGTATGTGGTAAGTCCAGAAGAAGTGTGTATGGGTTTTCATTGTACCATTCTTTCAAATTTTATAAAATTTAAAACTTCTAATAAAAGTTGGGAAGAGATAAAGAATTCTGTGTATTCTTTAAGTTTACCCTATTAAGGGTATTAGCAGATGCTATTAGCACCAGTGTTTAAATGCTTAGGATGGCTTCTTCTTGCTTTTCTAGTTCTTTATTATGTATTGTTAGGTTGTTTATTTGAAGTTTTTTTACTTTTTTGATGTAGACGCTTATAGCTATAAATGTTCCTCTTAGTATTGCTTTTGCTGTATCTCACAGGTTTTGGTATGTTGCATTTCCATTTTTATTTGTTTAAATAATTTATTTAACTTACTTTTTAATGTCTTCATTGACCCACTGGTCATTCAGGAGCATATTGTTTAATTTTCACATATTTGTATAGTTTCCAATATTCCTCTTGTAATTGATTTCTAGTTTTATTCCATTGTGGTCAGAGATGATACTTGATATTATTTCAATTATTTTAAATTTTTAAAAACTTGTTTTGTGGTCTAATATATGGTCTATCCTTGAAAATGATCCATGTGCTGAAGAGAAGAGTGTGTATTCTGCAGCCATTGTAAATATCTAATAGGTCCACTTGGTCTATAGTGCAGAATAAGTCCAATGTTTCTTTTTTAATTTTCTGTTTGGATGATCTGTCAAATGCTGAAATTGGGATGTTGAAGCCTCCAGCTATGATTGTACTGGGGCCTATTTTTTTCTTTAGCTCTAATTACATTTGCATTTCATATTTGTGTGCTCCTGTGTTGGGTGAATATATATTTATAACTGTTATATTCTCTGTTGAATTGACCACTTTATCATTATATAATGACCTTCTTTGTCTCTTATAGTTTTTGTCTTGAAAACTGTTTTGTCTGATATTAGTGTAGCTATTCCTGCTCTTTTTTCATTTCCATTGTCATGGAATTTTTTTCCATCCCTTTATTTTCAGTCTATGGTGTCTTTATACATGAAGTATATTTCTTGTAGGCAACAGACTTTTGGGTCTAATTTATTTATCCATTCAACTGCTGTATGTCTGTATTAGATAATTTTGTCTGTTTACATTTAATGTTATTATTGATAAGTCAGGACTTCTGCCATTTTGTTTAGTTATATATTATACTGTCTGTGTCTTGAAACACTGTTGTAGCTATTATTTTTGATAAGTTCTTTTAGTGTTTCTACTCAAGATATAAGTAGTTCAGACACTACAATTACAGTGCTATAATATTCTGTGGTTTTTTGTGTACTTACTATCACCAGTATGTTTTGTATCATCCAATGATGTCTTATTGCTCATTAACATTCTTTTCTTTCAGATTGAAAACCTCCCATTAGCATTTCTTGTAGCATAGGTCTGGTGTTGATGAAATTTCTCAGCTTTTATTTGTCTAGGAAAGTCTTTATTTATTTTTAATGCTTGAAGGATATTTTCACTGGTTATACTATTCTACAATGAAAGTTTTTTTTTCTTTCAGTACTTTAAGTATGTCATGCCACTCTCTCCTGTTCATTGTAGCACTGTTCACACTAACAAAGACATGGAATCAACCTAAATGCCCATCAGTGGTAGACTGGATAAAGAAAATGTGGTACATATACATCATCAAAGACTCTGCAGCCATAAAAAAGAATGAATCATGTCTTTTGCAGGAACATGAATGGAGCTGGAGGCCATTATGCTAAGTGAATTAATGCAGGAACAGAAACCAAATACTGCATGTTCTCATTTATAAGTGGGAGCTAAATAATGGAAACACATGGACACATAGAGGGGAACAACACACACTGGGGCCTACCAGAAGGTGGAGGGTGGGAGGAGGGAGAAGATTGGTAAAAATAACTAATGGGTACTAGGCTTAATACCTGGGTGATGGAATAATCTGTATGACAAACCCCCATGACACAGGTTTACCTATATAACAAAATTGTACATGTACTCCTGAACTTAAAAGTTAAAAAAATTTGTTATGTACATGTCCTGTGGAACACTGGGTCTTCAAAATAGATCAAGATGTTTTGCTGCTAGTAAATTTATTCCCAATTTATAGGAAGTACATCTAAAACTAACATATCAAATTCTCAGTTTGAATTTTTCTTCAATTTTAAAATTTCTTAGTACCTTAATCTTTTCCTGGGACTTTAATCTAAAGAAATAAAGCAGGAAAAAAGGATGTATGAAAATAGTCATGGTAGCATTATTTATACTGTAATAAAAATTAAACAACCTAAATGTCCAATAATAGAGAAATATTTAAGTGATGTAATATATTCCCTTGTCACAATATTATGTAGAAAGTTAATTTATGTTTAAATTAATAGTGGGGGTTTATATTAATGTGAAAAATGTTTCATGAATTACAGATGTATTTCTACAGAATAATCACACCTATGAAAAATTAACCAATTAACTAAAAATAATGCACGGAAAAGTAAAGAGAGAACAACTGAAATTTTAATAAAGGTTTTCTTTAGTTAGAGAAACTCTTAACTGTAATAGTGAGTATCAATAGATAGCACAACAAATAATTTTCAATAGAATAGTTATTAATAACTGATGGCAGTGTTTTTGATCTGGGTACATGTATGGGTAGTAATATATGTGCTATAATATAACAATATTTTCTGCTTGCAATTTTTTTCTTAATACCTGCGATGGAATTAAATGTATTCAAATTTCGTTTGTTCTGCAAAGGGCATCCTGTTCCACAGAGTCTTGCAGCTTCCAGGTGCTTTGCCTAATAAAGAAATTTAAAGGCCATGGAGGTGCTTATTTCATAAGAACTGTAACAATTCAGATCTTCTTTGCTTAGCCAAGTCATATGTGAGGATTTTGGACCTTTTATCTTTTCACACTGGAAATGATGGAATTTCACCCCATCATTAAAAAGACCTCTGTATATTAACATCACAATCACTTACATTTATTGAACATATTTTGTGTGGCAGACAGACACAGCACTTTACAAAAGCCTTAACTAATGTAATCTTCACAATATTGCTATGAGGAAAGCACTATTATTTTCCTTCTCACTTTACAGCCGAGGAAATGGAGGCACAAAGAAGTTAAATAAACTTGAGGGTGCCTAGCATATATGTGAAGCCTATGGTTGAGATTCCAACCCTGGCATTTTTGACCCTAGAGTCCACTATATTGTACTGACTTTCCTATAATATCACATTGCTTAAAATCTGACTAAGTTTTAAAATAACAGCTCTTTCTTTTTTTTTGTTGTTTCCTTTATTCTTTGCATTATGAGAATGGTATCCATGGTGGTCAAAGATTTATGGAGTAACTTCTATTTTTTTACTGAGAGATTCTTCTATAAAGAAACATGTTTCTGAGATTTTCCAGAAAATAAATGGTAACAAAATAATTTGCAAAAAGGAGTTTACATTAATAAGACCAGCAATCTTTGTATATGTTATGTTTTCTTTCTGTATAGGTATGCAAATCTATATTTCTCTACTATTACAAAATAATAGGTTAAACCTTAGGCCCTAGCTCATTACACCCTGTCCTCTTGATTGCAAGGCAATTCATTGCAACATTTTATTTAGGGCTACGTTGCAGTGAGTACTATGTTAAATTTGTGGCTACTGCAATAAATAGCACAAAGCCGTATCCTCAAGGAATTCATAGACTAGTGGCAGTGATAGACATTTGCCCACCGTTCATCCAGTGATCCAATAGGAGCCTGACACAGTGTTGTGTTCTGCAACTCACAAGACAAGAAACTCAGAATGACAAAATAAGACATAGTCTCTGGTCTCAAGGAGATTTAAATAATTAGAATACAATATGATGATTACCAATGGGTTGCATAGGAGATGTCTGGTAGCATTGGGAATGGACAAGAAAGGCTTCAGGGAGGAGACGATATTTGAATTCAGTCTTAAAGGATGAGTAGTTACCTCCCTTGTGGTCAAATTGGGAACAGAGTGCCAGAAAGAAAAATTATATTACTAAGCAGAGGCATAGTAAGCTAGGAGAATCTGGGGATGTTATGGGAGTATAAGCAGTTAAATATGGTTAGACTGTAAGAACATTTTGGGAGTAATAGAAAATGAGGCTAGAGTAATAGAAAGGGCTCATGCCATGCATAATTCATATTTACTTTGCCATAATAATTTATTATACCATATATGGCCAGTACATATAAAAAACACACAGACTGTCTTGCTCATGGTATGGAGATTGTTTGACCCTAAATTATTTTTTTTTTGAAATTTGTGCTCTTGAGGAATAGTCAGCTTATGTATAGGTATATGTACTTTTATCTTATTGTTTGAAAGATCTGGGTGATTTGGCAAAAACCACATAAACCATTCCGGGATTTTTATGTTACATTATAAGAAAAAAATTCATATGTTTGAGATTTATATATATATTTTTAAAGAATACAATTCTGTCTACTGAGAACATTCTGATCAGCTAAAGAGATTTTTCTTACAATTCTAAACAATTACAATAATTAAATATTTTGTTCAGGTATCATGTGTTATTTTGGTTTTCTCTCCAACCATCTCTGGTATTGCTTTTTAGATTATTAAAATCACTTGCATGTGTTATGACCTCGAGCCATGGTTCTTTTTAGAGGTGACATTTTCAATGTATTTGTAATATCATTTGCTGTTTTACTTGCATTTTGTTTTTCTTATTATCAAGCTGCCTATTTCTTATTTGCAAGTCAAGAGCCTTTTCTCTAAGCAGGTTTGCACTTTTTATGTGCCTAAGACAGAAAAACTGCTAAAATTAAAAAACATTCAAAGGTGAGTTGAGTTCAATTACTCAGTACTTTTGAGTTATTATACTTCCTTTTCAACTCCAGGAAGCTTCTCAGCTTGATAAACAAGTAAAGATGGTTTTGTGGATCTTTTTTCTCTCAAAGGAAGTTTTTCCACACTACAGTCACTTAGAATGGGGTTTTAAATAGTTCAGATGGTGAAGTGCTTTGTCCATTTGGAACTACTTTCTGCATCTGAAATATTTTGAAGATGTCAGTGGGCATTTAATAAATATTGGGTGATTCGATAATTGACATTTTCCCCACTATTTATCTACTAAACTTCTCTGTGATTGAATATTCCAAACTCCCTACAAATTCAAGAAGCCTACCCTGTATTGGATTTTTCTTCTCCCCAAAGCATAACTAGAATCTTCCAATTTGCTTCTAATTCACAATGGGACACCCTCAGAAACATTATCTGGGGAGATTTTCTTCCTCCTTTTGTATTCTTAACTGCTTTCCTCCAGGTCGGTGTGTTGTAAGTGATACTAAGAAAAACAAGACACAATCCCATCTTCAAAGACCTTTGAATTGACTAGAAACTATTAACCAAGTAAATGTGGAACTCTATAATACACATTAAGTCCTAAAAGATAGGTGGAGGTTCAAGTGAAGAAAAAGATAATTTTTAAAACAAAGATCAGCTAAAATATGGGATTTTGTGGGTGTAGACTGTGTAGCAATGTCCTCCCAAGCAGAAGTGGAAAAATGAGACAGAAAAAGCATAGGAACTATTTGGAGGAACAGAAAACTAGTTTGGCTGGAATATTTGATTAGTGGAGAGTAATGGTAGAAAAGAAGGCTCAGAGAATAGCTTGGGGCCAGATTATGGAGATTTAGAAAGCAAGGATTAGAGGGCAAGATTTAATATGCTAGGATAAAGTCAAGGAATTTGAACAGAGGAGTAGCCTGAACAAACATATGCATTTAGAACATTTGGCAGCAATGTGTCAGCAGACTTGGGTAGGAGAGATTCCTGGATTGGAGAGAGAGAAGATATATTGGTAGGAACTAATGAGGTTCTCAATAAGAAAAATGGAAACACATTCTAGAGACATGTTGGTGGGGTTATCTACAGGACTGGCCCTGTTTGGACATGGTGGCATAGGGAGAGGAAGAAGCCAAGAATAAACTCGAGATGTCCTTTGAGACCAGAAGAACAGTGAAGCTATGAAAAGAAATCACATTTCAGGAAGAGGAGTTGGTTTTTAAAGGATGTGTTGATCATTTTAGTTTTGTATGTATAAAAGTGGAGAATTCCAGCAAGTTTCAGGTATAAATTTAGAAACCATTAGCATAGATGGGCTGGTTGAAAGCGTAGAGAATGGTAAGGTCATGAGAGAGAAAGTAATTAAGAAAAACAGTTTCAAAAAGAAAATTTGGGAAAATGCAGTAAAAATAGAGAAATAGGCAAGTATCCTTGGAATTGAAATACACTGAGGTAAGAACTAACATGAAGGTAAAAAGAAGTTGCCATGGGAATCTGTCTGGATCTTTTAGGGTCAGAGAAAGCTTCCCAAAGGAAGGGAAGGCTAAGTTGATATTTGAAGCATAATTAGGGGTTTGCCAGAAAGGGAACTGAGTGAGAGATAGAATGCATTGTGGATTTAGGGAATGGGCTTATCAGAGAGCCCCAGGAAGTCCTCAGTCTCTTGTGAGGTTTCTCTCTGGGAATCTGATAACAAGGCCTATACATTCCTTTAGGCATAAATCTCTTATAACTCAGGTTATATTTTTTCCCCAAAGAAGCTCTCTGGCTCAGAAAGTCATTCTGTTCTAGAAGCTCTTGTACAATTCTGATCTCGCTTAATTCAAAACTGTACATCCAAGTTGTACTGCAAAGGCCTTTAAATTTATCTGGAGTTTTTGGATAATAAGCAAGGATTTTCATTAATAACTTCCACTATATTGGCTATAAGTAAAAATTTAAACCTATGTTTTATAGTTTCAGATCCTGTATTTTCTTTTAAACTTTTCTTGAAATATGCACTGTATCTAGAATTTCTTCCATGTCCATCCAGGGTTTCTTGGTTGGTTTTTCCATTGAACATTTGCTATGCTCTCTGACCATCTTCTGTTGTTTTTCTTTACATGTTAAGATGCATATCTTCTTTTATACTTATCAGCTCTTAGAGCCTCACTAGAATCTTTAATATTTTGTAAGATATTTAAACTTATTTCATGATTCTATGAATAGTAACAAACATTGCTTAGGAATATTGTAATAGTAATACTAATACCAATAACGCCAAGTAGTAGTAATATGAATACTCCTAAAATAATTAGTACCGTAAATATCTGTTGAGTGTTAACTATTTTCTAGAGCTGCCCTGTTCAAAATAATAGCGACTAGTCATGTGGCTATTGAATACTTGAAAGGGGGCTAGACCAAGCT
The DNA here is from genome assembly GCF_000001405.40 of Homo sapiens. NCBI lineage: Eukaryota > Metazoa > Chordata > Mammalia > Primates > Hominidae > Homo > Homo sapiens. The sequence goes on from NC_000012.12 coordinate 33,127,456, forward strand.
GAGATGTGTTACAGGTGTAAAATACACGAGATATCAAAGATTTTGTAGAAAAAATGTAAAATGTCTCAATAATTTTTAATATTGATTGCATGCTGAAATAATGCTGTAGATATATTGGATTTAAGATATACATTATTAAAGTGAATTGCCTCTGCTCTTTTTAACCTTTTATAATCCTCATATATGTTTTTTTAAATGTGGCTACTGGAATATTTATAATTATACATGTGGCTTACATTTGTGGCCAGCATTGTATTTTACTGGATAGCACTGTTTTAGGGCATGTTTGTAAAGTTTAACACAAGTTGTCCCTCTTTAAACTCCACACCTACTCCTGTGGGGTAGATATTATTATTCCCATGTTATAGATGCAGAAACTGAGGTCTCATCACAGTTAACTAAATATGTGGTAGATAAGAGATCTCTTTAGTCTCTTGTCTTAAGTAGGAGGCTGTTTTATTAGACGGAATAAATTGTTGTTAGTCTGAGAAGTGCACATTTTAGAATTTGCTTCTGTCTTTGCTTTCTTAGCAACTTTTTCATTTAGTATATGATACCTGAGATTGCCTTCATTATCACAGTCAGTGTTACAGGTGCAGAACCTTTTACATAGGTGTGCACTGTCCAAACGAATTATGCATACCACAATATATGACGTATACCAGAATGTGTGATATATATCAAACTAGGTTCAAATGCAAGGCAAGGTAACTACCTGCATGTGGAAGTTCTTGTGGAAACTAAATGGAAGGACCCCTTTTAAATTCTACCCCAGTTAGAATTTAACGCATGTGTGCAGGCAGGAATATTGCCAATACTTTGTGATCCATTGGGATAAAAACTTGATACCAGTTGGGTTTCTAGCTTCTTCAGTTTCTAACTGGAGCTTGGTGTTCTCATTTCCCAGTAGAGCCCAGGTGGTGCTTCTATTTAATGAATTGTAGGAAGCTCCTTTGGGTCTAACTTTATAATTATTCTGCCCTTGCATGGAAATGAGTCTTAGAGAAGTCTTGCTTCCATTTTTTAAATAAAGTCACTTGTTTAATTTCTTTTTTTTATTCAAATGTTATCATTCCTACAGCTGTCCCCTAAGATGGAAAAATTTGTAGACTACCCTCAGGAGAATCTTGATTCCTTTCTGCCCTTGACATGTTATTTTCATCCAGAGGCTCCTGAAACAGCCACCGTTGTATTCAGAGCCTGGGAGATTGTGTTTTCTTTTCATTTGTCCCACATTTACCTCTTCGAGTGTTAAGAGTGCCCTGATATGTGGTTAAATCATTCATCTACTCATGTATTATTAATGTCAATATAAACAGTTGAACATCATGTACTGGCTTGTACTCTATCCCTGGAGATCAGAATGAACCAGCTTTTTATATTTCAGATTCAGTAGAAGGTGTTTTTCAGGTTCTCTCAGGGAGTTTTGGTCTATTGATGTCAGTTCTATCCTAAGGCACATTTAAAAAACTATTAATATTATAACACATAAAAGGCAATGATGCTTGGTTGAAATTTTGTTTAAGGGATGTTAATATGTGTTTTAAAATATTTACAATTTTTTTTTCTTGGAACACTTGTATTTCCTTAGTCAAGCATGCACTATTATAACTAAATTTCTCAACAATTCTGAAGTTTTAGCAACCATTTGTAATACTTTATAAAATAATTTATGTAACAAGCGTATATGTAGCATTTTGTCTATGCCAAGTACTGTTCCAATGGAATTAGGAAATATTAACTCACTAGTGCTGTGATTAAAAGATGCAAATATGTATATCCTGGGGACTTGAATGAATCATTTAAAAACTAAGCATATTCTCAGATATAAAATGTTGCTTACTATCTATTTAGTTAATAAGTATTATTTTTATTGTTTAGAAACGTGCAAAAACATAACATAGCACTGACTATATTTGAGGATCTAAGTTTTTATAAAGATTGAAAACTTTTACCTGTGAAACCATCTACCTATCCATCCATTCATCTGCCTGTTCATTTATTTATTGATTAATAATTTAGGATACTTTTTACTTCAAAAGAGGTTTTAATTAAGTTTGTGGTGTTTGAATATATAAAGGAACAAATGGCTTAAACAGAATACCAATCATGATCAGAAATAATTTAGAAAGAGGAAAATATTTGTACTGGGATTTATAGAGAGATAGTCACAACAACTAAACCCTACATGTTTCTGTTCTCTTCCTCTTGACAGAAGGGAAACAACACAGGATGAATCACAAGTTTTTTATAATAAGAAAAGCAAATATGTGTTCATCTGGAGAGACATTATTTTCTTGGTATTAAATTCTAGGAGAGCATTTTTGGTGGTTTCTCACATAAGGATGTCAAATAATAACATTTTAATTATGAGAACCAGTCTTCAAATGATATTACATGGTAACTCTAAAGACACTTTTATACTCGTAAACCATGCTTACATAATCCAGGTACACTGTCTCAGTATTTAATAACTAGAAAGCATACATAACACCTAAAAAAGTAGGCAGAGCACAAATCCTGTAGGTGTTTATGCTCTCCAACGTCACTGTTTTCAGTTGACCTCTAGCACACTCTTGAAGGCAACTGGTTTAAAGTAGTGCTTCTTGACTGGTGATTATACTTTGTTCCATTGCTTGGAGGAATTCAATATTTGACAGATAGTTGATATGCATTCTGCAACATGGAATGATGCTGTGATATCTGTCCCTACAAGGGTTAGTACTTCCAAGGTCCTATTCTCCCTGATTTCAAAGATGCCTCTCCATGTGTTCCACAGTACCAGAAACAAATTTTATCATAGCACTTGTTATGGAGGGGGTTTTAATTTAAATTTGATTTTATTGGCCGTGCACAGTGGCTCATGCCTGTAGTCCCAGCACTTTGGAAGGCCGAGGCAGGCGGATCACGAGGTCAGGAGTTCGAGACCAGCCTGGCCAATATGGTGAAACCCCATCTCTACTAAAATACAAAAATCAGCTGGGCGTGGTGGCGTGCACCTGTAGTCCCAGCTACTCCGGAGGCTGAGGCAGAAGAATTGCTTGAACCTGGGAGGTGGAGGTTGCAGTGAGCTGAGATTGTGCCACTGCACTCTAGCCTGTGCGACAGAGTGAGACTCTGTCTCAAAAAAAAATTGATTGTATTTCATGTTTTCGTCTATCTTCTTTTGTCTCTGAGCTGCTTGACAGCAAGTACTCCTCACTGCATCTCCAACATGTAGAATAAATGTGACCCGTAGAAAGTATTCCACACACATTTGGCAAATAAATAAATGAATGCATGAATTAATTTACCACTGATTGGTATTTCCTTCAAGACAAAGGACCATGCCCAACAGAGATCTGAAGAGAACCAATAACAATGTTCTGTAACATATTTTTGGGTTCTAGGATAATTTTATGTGGCTACTTTTCAAATTTTCAGTAATTGCAGATAAAGTCAGATTCAGCCAGCAGGCTGATCAGTGGTATAATATTTTGAATGAGATTCTGTTCCTCAGTTTTTGAGCATCAAATAACTTATTTGTCATGATTTCTAGTAAAGTTTAGTTTTTTCTTGTCAAATTCATAGAAGATGGATTTGTAATTTATGAATCTAAATGCCAGTTTATTGATTTACAAAAGGGATATCTTTAACGGGAAAACAGAATTATTGGTGGCATGGGGCTCCCCTTTCTAGAAAGAGTTTCAAATAAATTACAAGTTAGAAGATTGCATGATAAACAAAAGCAGAAAATGATTTTGGATGCTCATGAAGCTATGTATATCTGGGCTATGGTAGCCAAGTGGATCACCCTTTTTGACTTGAAAGGCATTTTTGTCTAAGAAGCTGCTCTGGTCCATTGGCTAACTGATGTTTTTGGTGAAGAGATCCTGAACACAGATCTAGCTGATGTTAACAGGTGTACCATGAAAAAGTAGTTTCATGATGAAATAAATCTAAGAAAAAAAAGGCAAACTATAGACTCTTCTTTGAGATTAACAGTTGACAATAAGAATCCTTCCATAAAGAAATTGTTTCACTTCATTTTACCTAGGTTTCATTGAAGAACTGGAACATTAGGGCAATTATTCTTGGCCCACCTGTAGACATGTATTCAACAAAAATTTATGGAGTAATGATTGTGGCAGACACTATGCAAGGTATCCAGGAGATACAGATCTGAAATAAACCAACATGGCCCACAGTTTCCCAGCACTAGCAATGTAGTGGTAGGGATGGAGAGTCAATAAAGAAGGAAGCACAAAACCAAAAAGTTATGACAATTTGTGATATGTCATATAAAGGAACTAAACAAGATACTGAGATTCTGAATCACGGGAGGGAACCCAGTTTTGTTGCTGCAGATCAAGTACAGTGTATATAAGGAGGTGAAGTTTAAATTGTGTAGTGTGTAAACTGTGAAGGTGGAGGAAGTGCTAGCCACAGAGAGTAAAGAGGATTTAGACAGAGGGAATATTAAATTCAATCAAAGAGTTTTCAGTGAAAATGAAGCCAGAAAACCCTGCCTTTTGTATATTTAGAACCATATGGGGTTCCTGTTTGTTGATGGTCCTCTGGGGGAAGAGTTAAATTTCATCCTGGGAGTGTCAAACAAATTCAGGTCCCCCAGAAGGACTTGAAAAAAGTCATGTCTACCACCTCTTGCTTGTAAGTAAGGATATGAAGAATGCTTTCCTAGATGCCCCTGAAAAAAGGTCATCCTAACTTTTATGTCCAGTTTTTCCTAGGTATGCATCTCCCCAGAATGCAGGATTTTTCCCTGGAGTGCGGTCACTTGGTAAATATACTTTAGTTCTGGGATCTAAGTTTTCCCTTTTTAATCCTCTTACCCCAAATATAGGTTTTACCTTCCCACATTCTATAAATTAATTTCCTTTTATTGACCCGATGTTAGTAACAATGCAACCTTCCTGCATGGATGCAAAGAACATAATGCAATGACAGTTTCCATGGTAATAACCTGGCTTCATTGTGTGTTGTAGGTTCCTTTGCTGCCAGGTCTGAGTGGTCCCCTTCAGCTCTAGCTTCCCTCTTATTCTGGTATGCAGCCCAGGTGACCTGAATGACTGAATGCAAGGTGGCCAATTCTCCCCAAATGACTTCAAAAGCTCGAGTGCTCTAGTTTTGCAGCTCATTTTAAACACCTCACTGACACCTCAAGGAAAATTGCCTCTCGTCTTTTATCTGGCCTCTCAACTTCTTCAGTCACAGGCAAGCAGGAAGTGGACAACTGATCTTCTGCTGTCCAAAGTTGAAGCTACATCAGAAGGAAGAAAGGTTGTGGTTGGCAATAGCTCCATTTTGAAGATTTCAGAAAGGTCAAGAGTGGGGAGAAGAGACAATACAATGAACATTTAGAGGTGTGTCTTCAGGTCAAGTTCAATTCTGCTACTTTAAAAAGTTTTCAGGGCTGTGAAAAGAAGTTCTGGAGAAGCAAAATCAGCATTACTGGGAGGGAAAAAAACTTACTTCTCCCCTCCAAACGATGGGTAATTTCTTCTTGTCTAGAAAGAGCACTCTTCCTCGGGTTATATCGGTTGAAATCTATAACCTTAGTTATAATATTTTAACATACCAAGAAAAAAGCCAGTATTTCCTAAACCAATCCTAAAACTGGCATCAATTGCAAAGAAGGAGGACATCTTTTCCTCCAACATTTCTTTTCTTTCTTTTCTTTTCTTTTCTTTTCTTTTTTTTTTTTTGAGACAGAGTCTCGCTCTGTCACCCAGGCTGGAGTGCAGTGGCGCGATCTTGGCTCACTGCAACCTCCGCCTCCCTGGTTCAAGCAATTCTTCTGCCTCAGCCTCCCAAGTAGCTGGGAGTACAGGCGCACACCACCACACCTGGCTAATTTTTGTAATTTTAGTAGAGACAGGGTTTCACCATATTGGTCAGGCTGGTCTTAAACTCCTGACCTCAGGTGATCCACCTGCCTCGGCCTCCCAAAGTGCTGGGATTACAGGCGTGAGCCACTGTGCCTGGCCCCAACATTTAATTTCTTAAGGACTTCAGACAGAAATGTTTCTAAAGTTTACCGTTTTCATAATATTATGCATTATAAATTACCATAAAAATAATTGCTATTATTTTATTATAAAAACAAAAATAATTTAACTTCAAACATATTATGTGACAAACACACATATGAAAACAAGAGGCACTCATAATTTTATTTTATTTTATGTATTTTATGTATTTATTTTGGTTTTAAGGAGCAGAGAGTTTAACAGGCAAGAAGGAAGGAAGAAGGCAGAAGGAAGAAGCTCCCTTGTACAGAGACAGAGGGAGGGGGTTCCAAAGCCGAAAGAGGAAACCCCACCTGCCACAGATACCAGCAGGGTACATGAAGAGGCTGGAGGAGGCTGTGTTTGATTTGCATAGCGCTCAGGGGATTAGTTTGACCAGGTATGTCATTCACGTAGCCTGCGAAAAAACTGGTCCTCCCACCCTAGCCTTTTAATATGCAAATGAAGGGTGCCATGATGTTTTACAAACGTGGGGATATGTGTGGGCAGCCAGGTCGCCAGGCATAGGTGGGGCAAGGGTAAGAAGAAGAGGGCAGGAATCACCATGTTTGGAGACACCCATAATTTTAACTGCCATCTTCTCTGTTTCAATATCTTAACTGTTCTAAACATACCTAAACATGCCAGAAAGTGGCAAAGGGGCACATGGAATTTTCTCATAAATCAGCTGCCTAGTTTCTTGGTCCGCATGGATTGTGTATTACCTCTCCCAATATGCTCTTTTGGCTTAATAACCCTGCTTGAGGCTGCTTATCTTGATTCTGGCATGGCAAAACGTATAAGGGTATTGATCTAGGTAATTTCCTTCTGCTCTGTTCACTGAACCCACAGCTTCTCTGTATGCAGCCCAAACACGGAGGAGACCACCAGCTCCCCAACAGCTATCTTGGAAAGAACTTGCACAAATACCACTGACTCCATTTCTAAAAATCTTTATGAAAAATTATAGTTTCCAAGATTGTTTCTTATCTTGTAGATAGCAGTTTTATGTTGATACATCAGGTGTCTTTATAAAATGAGGATCACTTCATAAAGTGATCCTTAGATATCAAAATATGCTGATCTTCATCTAATCTTCTCAATCGTGTGGTAATTTTGTTAATCTTCGGTTTGGGGTCTCAGATTCAAAGCCCTAGAGTGCCCAGGCAAGTAAAGCCAGATGCAAAGGGCCACGTTAGTACAATAGGAAATGGTGGGGACTTCAGTGACAGGAAGTGCACGTGCTCCAATTGAAGGGTTCAGCCTCCAGTTAGCTAGAGGTAGTAAGTGATTGGTGAGCAGCTAGATGTTGCACCTTTACAGTGAAACTGAAGGCTTAATATTTTGTGTGAAACATTTTATTTTAAAATACCAGTAACATTCATTTTTTTGTTTCGTTTTAGCAAATTGGGTGAAAAAAATTTTAGGCCATGAGCTGTTTGTTTGTAGTCTCTGAGCTAGAGAATAGAGATTGTGGACTTGCCCTTAGTGACTCTTATTTTGGAATTTGTCCACCACCCTGGGGTCTTTAGTTGTAAAGACATTTCTGAATTTGTGTTAAATGAAGAAAACCTAGACACTAGAATCATGAAATGCAGAAACGCTTAAAACCAGAAGACTGCAAAATTTAACAAATGACCTTTTTTTTGAGACTGAATCTTGCTCTGTCGCCCAAGCTGTGGGGCAATCTCCGCTCACTGCAAACTCCGCCTCCAGGTTCAAGCGATTCTCTTGCCTCAGCCTCCTGAGTAGCTGGGATTACAATTGCGTGCCATTGCGTCTGACTAATTTTTGTATTTTTAGTAGAGACGGGATTTTGTCGTGTTGCCCAGGCTGGTCTTGAACTCCCAGGCTCAAGCTATCCAAATGCCTTGACCTCCAAAAGTTCTGGGGATTACAGGTGTGAGCCACAGTGCCCAGCCATCAAATGGCCATTTTTGAAAGTGGAAAATCTTCTCTGAAACTTATGTTCATATTAGCATTGTTTATGGGATCATTCACTAAGAATCTTGTATTGAGGTGCAAGCCACTCTGACAGGAGCCTTGTGTTGGAAATCATGCAGTGATGACTTTTCATCATCTGCAAATCATACAAAGATTAGCTTCTTCAGATTATACATATTAACTTTAAAATGGGAACCTCTATACATACTGTATGAATGCTGATGACCAGAAGAAATGGCCTGAATTTTATGAAACATAAATATGGTAAAATTATAGAATTATAGAAGGATTATTATTAGAGCAAAGAGCAGCAAATATGTATCAAGGAAAACAAATTATAAGACTTTATTGTAACTTACCATTTTTTTTAATGCATGTTTCTGAGGTGCTAGATCTCTTATAAGGAAGCCAGGGTCTTCGTGCTTTTGCGAGCATTTATGTGTGTATGTGATTAAGTGAGTGCATGTTTCTGTCTTCTTTAGTTTATAATACACCAATTCTTAGTTATTTATATTGTACCAAATTCTTATATCTTCTTAGTATCGCTAAACTAAGATTGAGAACATTTAGAGTATTCATGTTTGGCCAGTGGCAATTAAGAAACTAACTCTGTCACCATATTTTCAGTAAAATATAAGCATAAAATATCCAAGGTATTTAAGAAATTTTTTTATTACAAAGAAAATGTTGCATTAAAAAGTTACTGCATTTGAATAGTTTTCAGCAACTATTTTAACATTGATAATGAAGTCCTAGCCTTTATTAACACATGTTGGTCTGAGGTCATTAGAAATAAGATATATGTGAGAGTGAATTTCAATCCGTAGTCTCATCAAAGTGATGAATTCTGCATTAATGGTCTTATTTAACTCTTGTAATTTTTCAGCAGAAAGGCACTAGATGATCTTGCCCACATTCTGTAATAATGAGTTTCATTTACATGTCTTTCTCTGAGAAGATGAAATGATTACATTGAGAAGTACTATAAAAAGGATTCAAATCACCTGGAAAGCAAATTCTTAGTCAATTATAACAGACTTGATGACAACCTGCTATATGCCACATAGTTGTGCTTATAGTTCATTTAAAATAATAAACTTCTATAATTTGAGGTAATTTTTATGAAAATATTCAAAACAATTATTAATGCCATGATGTTTGTCTTTAATATTTTTCTATCATGGGCAGTAAAAATAAGTTTGGGCATTTTAATTTCATGTTTTAAACCAAGTAACCTGAAACTACTTGTAAAATTAATAATAAGAAATGATTGAAACTTAGAGTAGTTGAAGTGTATGTGGCCTGTTGAAAAATTAATAATGAATTTGTGAAGATTAATGACAGGGAAGAATGAGAAACTTTATACAAGAGAAATCTTTATTATCTTGTATATAGCATTAAAAGTTTGGCTTTCGTATCTCACTAGAGCTGGTAACTGGGAAGTAGTTAATGGTTTATTTTTGGGGTAGAGGTATATCACCCAAAGTCACTCTGGTTTTACCTGTATTTATGTCATATTTGAAAGACATAAAGTCTTTTTTTACTTAAAACATTTGGTTTTCACATCAATGATTTGAAATATGTACGGGGATCTATTTGTATTCTTGTTTTACAAATGAAGAGTAAGATTTGTATACAGCTAGTAAGTAGTAGAGCCAAGTCTCAAACCTATGCCTTTAGATTCCAAGTTCAATTCTCTTTCAAGGGATTTGAAGTATTTGCCCAATATTATTTCCAAGAACAGTCAATTATTAGCTCAGATTGGGCTCCAACTCATGTCTTTTGACAAAATGTAAATTCCAAATTTCTCTTCTCCAGTATCCCACACTTTTTTGGCATTCTTCTATAATGCTAAGGCTTTAGTTTTATAAATTATAATAAATTAATATGCCTCTGTCTGTAGGTCTTAGGTTTCCCTTGGGTAAAATCATGACATTGGGACTTTTGATTTTCTAAGCCTCCTCCAGCAATCTAGTGTAGGGTGTACTTGAATAAAAGATAGTCTACACTTGGGAGAACATGCATTGGAAACCTTAGTACCATAAATAATTAATATGCAAAGAAGCATAAAGAGCAACTTACTAATCAAGTAGAAAAATATGCACAATAAAATATGCAAAGGATAAAAATGGGCAATTAATGGAAGGATTATAAAAGTGACCAATAAATTTAAGAAAGAGCACACAATTTCTCTGGCAATCAATAGTAAGGTTTTTGTTTGCCAATATATTAGTAAACATTAAAATTATTAATATTAAGTATAAACAGAGTCTCATATAGTTAGGAAGAGCATAAAATGAGGAGTTAACTTAGAGAACAATTTGCCAGAATTGATAAAAAAATCAAAATGTTATATATTTCAAGTTTTCCATTGCTAGGTATCCATTCAAAGAAGTATTTGTATGTGTACATGAAGAGACATGTACAAGAGGGCTTGTTGGAGCATTGTTTGAAATACTAAAAAGTTGAAGGTCACCTACAATGTCTATCAATTTAAGGATAGTTAAATAAATTATGCTTTATATATACCATAGAATTTTATTCATCAGATTTTAATGAGGTATCTGTGAACTGTCATGAGAAACACTCTAAAATATATTAAATAAATCAAGCCATAGAACTAAATATGCAGTTTAATTATGTTTATATGTTAATATCTTCACCTCCCCTGCCAAAAAGCAACACAACTAGGTATTTTCTATCTATGTAAAATCACAGAAAAAGGTGTGACAAATATCCACCATATCATTAATAGCAACTTCCTTTGATTTGAATTTCTAAATCATTAATAGCAAAACATTAATATAAATGAACTTGAGGGTTGGGATGGCAGTGTGACAGGAAGTTACTTCTACTATGTATAATTCTTTGTTATGTTTAAAAATAGAATAACCAAAAATGCTTTTATAGTCTATTTCTGAGGAATTGTTTTCAGGACTTGAGTTTGTTATTCTCTCTCTCTCTCATTTGTTTTTTTTTTTGAGACAAGGTCTCACTCTGTTGCCCAGGCTAGAGTGCAGTGGTGTAATAATAGCTCACTGCAGCCTTGACCTTCTGGATTCAGGTGATCCTCCAACCTCAGCCTCCCAAGTAGCTGGGATTACAGGTGTGTGCCACCACGCCCGGCTAATTTTTGTACTTTCTGTAGAGACAGGGTTTTGCCATGTTGCCCAGGCTGGTCTCAAACTCCTGGCCATATATCTGAGGAATTAAGTTTTCAAAATCTGGGTTTGTTATTCTCTGTTCATTATATAAAAAGGAATATGATGTAAATTTGTCCCATCGTCAGTGATTTTAATCTGCTCACTTGGCTAAGATTGTGTCTGTAATATTCCTGTCAAAGGTGCATAATCCGAGTACAAGTAAAACATCAGACAACCCAATTTTAAAGACTTTCTCTTAAAAAAAATCAATTTAAAGAATTGCAAAAAAAGATGGTAGAACTGTACCAGATTAAAGAGACCTGGCAATAAAATGTGATACATGATTCCAGATTTTCTTTTGCAATAAAGAACAATATTGGAACAATTGTAGATATCTGAATAAAGTCTGTAGATTAAAACACAATAGTTAATAATTAATACCCACCTAGATATACAATTCTAGGGTCACCCTATCTTCCTTTTATATAAATTTGGTTCCATTGTTATACAATTTTCTAGCAATGAATGCTTCTATAGTGAGAGGCTGACCTAACATATGATTTTTGTTTTGTTACCTGGATGTCTTATGATTTTTTCTTTGTCCTTGTAGTTCAGTACCTTCCTGAGGGTATGTCTCAGTGCCAATTCTATTGCATCAGTTTTTCCTGGAACATGATCTACTTCTTTGATGTGCAGATTAAGGCCATTTTTTTTTCCAGGATTGTTTTCTTATGTTTTAGATTATAATATATTATCTGTTTTATTTATTCAGTTCTTTTCTTCATGAAATCATAGCAATGATGCAATTGTTGATACCTTTACCTATGTTCTTTGTCTATTATCATCTCTATACTCAATTTGAAATCATTGTTCTTTTTTATGTTGTTTTCTGTGAATTGCAGAATAGTGTTCATCATGTTCTTGACTGTGCTCATTTGTGCATGTCTGTTTGTGCTTATGTTTGGCTACTAATTTGGCTTTGGTCTCTGTTGCATTTTAATGTTTTCCTTCCTTTTCTCTTGTGAGCTCCTAAGCTCCCTTTTCACCTCTGTAGTCTCCTTGAATATTTGTACCTGCTCACTGACCTTTTTTTTTTATATATAAGAGAGTTCAAAGCTGTAACTTCTTTGAAAGAATAGAAATTATTTATTTGTCTGACTTTTCATGTTTCAATGGGCGAATTTCCATTTGATTTGTCTTTTTTCATCTGCCTCTTCTCATTTTCCTTCCAGATTTTCTGCATATTTTGTGTTTGTTTATTTCTCATTATGACTTGTCCTCAAATGGAATTCCTTAACCTCTGGAAGAATAGAATGAGACTAGGAGAGGAGCATTGGAGAGGGGAGAGATCTATGACTATATTCAGTTACCATTTGTGATCTTGAATATTTCATCAAGTGTCTCGTTTTACTACTTTTTAAAATCTGGGGCACATCAGTTTCTTTAGGAGGATAATGTGGTTCACAGCAAAGCTCTTTAGGGTATGGGCTTGCTGCCCCTTCTTCTAATCACCCATTCACTTCTGGTGATCTTTGCCCTACTAGAAATCTAGGGGGTGGATAGTAGAAATAATGTGACAGCATGATTTGACCCCTGACATTTTGTGATGTTGTGTGAATATTTAAAGGAATCAAATCTTTACAGGACCATCTCTTCTTTTTCTGCTGTCCATCCATACTCTAAATGTTGACATTTTAGTTAGAGTCATAGGTTAAGCCTTTCTAGACAAAGGTACTTATTTTGGAGAAATTCCGCACCTGCTAGAGTCCCAGGAGGCATGAGTTCACTCGCAGGACTTTGTCTCCTGGCCCCGATTCCATGATGTTTGGCAGGTAAACTTATTGTATGCACTTTGGAATAGAGAGAGTTAACTTAATTCTTCAAATATGGATCATTTTCTCTGTTTTTCATTCTTACTGTTGTTTTCGGTAAAATTTTTGTTGTTTGCAGAAAACTTGTGGGAATAAATAAAAATGCCTTTATTCAACAATGTAAACACGAAGTTATTTAAGAGGTAAACTGTTATTTTCTGTATTCTTATCTTCTTTTCAAAATTTAATGGACTCTATGACTTATTATGGAAAGCAGAATGTGACATAAAGAAAATTCAATAGAGTGTGACATCTTGGGAGAAATACAAATAGTTGGATTTGTATCTTGTATAGGAATTTTACAATCTCCCTTGGATTTATGGGCAATACACATGCTTATGAATATGTGCTAACTACCATATAGACTTTGCTTGAAAATTTTAAACTTAATTTCGTAGTAGCAGATAGCCTAAATCTATAATTCTGCTACCATTTACTTTTGTGTACAATTTCATTTAATGCTAAATTATACTTAATGATTATAGTTCTTAACAGTAATTACAGTGGAAAATCTGTAAAGCAGATTTACTTTTCCTTATGTGGTAGACTGAGTTTTTAGTAAGAAAAAGAGATTTAAACACTTTAGCAATATAGATGTGCCAGCCATAAATTATATTTAACATCTGAGTAATTTTCAAGCTAAATCATTTAATGCTACTGAAATTATAGTGGACTTCTCAGAGAGCTCCAGATGCCTTCTGCCTAAGTCCATGTGCACTGCTACAACAAAACATCATACTAGGTAGCTTATAAATGACAGTAATTTATTTCTCACAGTTCTAGAGGCTGAGAAGTTCAAGATCAAGGGTACTGGCAGATTTAGTGTCTGGTAAGGGCCTACTTTCTAGGTTCATAGATGGTGCCTTTATAATATACATAGTATAAAGGGACCAGGTAGCTCTCTGTAGTCTCTTTTTTCAGGGCAATAATCCCATTCATGCAGGCTCTGCCTTCATGACCTAATTACTTCCCCAAACCACCTCCTATCACCATCAATTTGGTGATTAGGTTTCAACATAAGAATTTTGGTGAAACAAACAATCAGATCATAGCACCTTCCTTTATTAACCTCTTTTTATTTTTTTTTTATTGAGAAACATTTTATTATTTAACATTAAACACACCTTGGGCATGTATACGGAGGCAGACTTCTTTCCCTTTTATGATGTGGATTGGGCAAGTGACATCTGAGTGTGCGTGCAGATGGCAGAAATGTAGATTGAGACAAAGTGGCTCGAGCAAGCTGGGTGACTGTCAAGTCCAATGATGTCCAACAGTGTGACATTGTAACTGCCCTCTTCAAACTATGTGGATCTGCCACATTTCTTTTTTTTTATTTTTATGTCTTTTTTTTATTATACTTTAAGTTTTAAGATACATGTGCACAACGTGCAGGATAGTTACATGTGTATACTTGTGCCATGTTGGTGTGCTGCACCCATTAACTCATCATTTAACATTAGGTATATCTCCTAATGCTATCCCTCCCCCCTCCCCTCACCCCACAACAGGCCCCAGTGTGTGATGTTCCCCTTCCTGTGTCCATGTGTTCTCATTGTTCAATTCCCACCTATGAATGAGAACATGCGGTGTTTGGTTTTTTGTCCTTGCGATAGTTTGCTTAGAATGATGGTTTCCAGCTTCATCCATGTCCCTACAAAGGACATGAACTCATCATTTTTTATGGCTGCATAGTATTCCATGGTATATATGTGCCACATTTTCTTAATCCAGTCTATCATTGTTGGACATTTGGGTTGGTTCCAAGTCTTTGCTATTGTGAATAGTGGCACAATAAACATACGTGTGCATATGTCTTTATAACAGCATGATTTATAATCCTTTGGGTATATACCCAGCAATGGGATTGCTGGGTCAAATGGTATTTCTAGCTCTAGATCTCTGAGGAATCGCCACACTGACTTCCACAATGGTTAAACTAGTTTACAGTCCCACCAACAGTGTAAAAGTGTTCCTATTTCTCCACATCCTCTCCAGCACCTGTTGTTTCCTGACTTTTTAATGATCGCCATTCTAACCGGTGTGAGACGGTGTCTCATTGAGGTTTTGATTTGCATTTCTCTGATGGCCAGTGATGATGAGCATTTTTTCATGTGTTTTTTGGCTGCATAAATGTCTTCTTTTGAGAAGTGTCTGTTCATATCCTTCACCCACTTTTTGATGGGGTTGTTTGTTTTTTTCTTGTCAATTTGTTTGAGTTCATTGTAGATTCTGGATATTAGCCCTTTGTCAGATGAGTAGATTGCAAAAATTTTCTCCCATTCTGTAGGTTGCCTGTTCACTGTGATGGTAGTTTCTTTTGCTGTGCAGAAGCCCTTTAGTTTAATTAGATCCCATTTGTCAATTTTGGCTTTTGTTGCCATTGCTTTTGGTGTTTTAGACATGAAGTCCTTGCCCATGGCCATGTCCTGAATGGTATTGCCTAGGTTTTCTTCTAGGGTTTTTGTGGTTTCAGGTCTAACATTTAAGTCTTCAATCCATCCTGAATTAATTTTTGTATAAGGTGTAAGGAAGGGATCCAGTTTCAGCTTTCCACATATGGCTAGCCAGTTTTCCCAGCACCATTTATTAAATAGGGAATTGTTTCCCCATTTCTTGTTTTTGTCAGGTTTGTCAAAGATCAGATGGTTGTAGATATGCGGCATTATTTCTGAGGGCTCTGTTCTGTTCCATTGGTCTGTATCTCTGTTTTGGTACAAGTACCATGCTGTTTTGGTTACTGTAGCCTTGTAGTATAGTTTGAAGTCAGGTAGTGTGATGCCTCCAGCTTTGTTCTTTTGGCTTAGGATTGACTTGGCGATGCGGGCTCTTTTTTGGTTCCATATGAACTTTAAAGTAGTTTTTTCCAATTCTGTGAAGAAAGGCATTGGTAGCTTGATGGGGATGGCATTGAATCTGTAAATTACCTTGGGCAGTATGGCCATTTTCACGATATTGATTCTTCCTACCCATGAGCATGGAATGTTCTTCCATTTGTTTCTATCCTCTTTTATTTCATTGAGCAGTGGTTTATAGTTCTCCTTGAAGAGGTCCTTCCCATCCCTTGTAAGTTGGATTCCTAGGTATTTTATTCTCTTTGAAGCAATTGTGAATGGGAGTTCACTAGTGATTTGGCTCTCTGTTTGTCTGTTATTGGTGTATAAGAATGCTTGTGAGTTTTGCACATTAATTTTGTATCCTGAGACTTTGCTGAAGTTGCTTATCAGCTTAAGGACATTTTGGGCTGAATGATGGGGTTTTCTAGATATACAATCATGTCATCTGCAAACAGGGACAATTTGACTTCCTCTTCTCCTAATTGAATGACCTTTATTTCCTTCTCCTGTCTGATTGCCCTGGCCAGAACTTCTAACACTGTGTTGAATAGGAGTGGTGAGAGAGGGCATCCCTGTCTTGTGCCAGTTTTCAAAGGGAATGCTTCCAGTTTTTGTCCATTCAGTATGATATTGGCTGTGGGTTTGTCATAGATAGCTTTTATTATTTTGAGATACATCCCATCAATACCTAATTTATTGAGAGTTTTTAGCATGAGGGGCTGTTGAATTTTGTCAAAGGCCTTTTCTGCATCTATTGAGATAATCATGTGGTTTTTGTCATTGGTTCTGTTTATATGCTGTATTACGTTTATTGATTTTCGTATGTCGAACCAGCCTTGCATCCCAGGGATGAGGCCCGCTTGATCATGGTGGATAAGCTTTTTGATGTGCTGCTGGATTTGATTTGCCAGTATTTTATTGAGGATTTTTGCATCGATGTTCATCAGGGATATTGGTCTAAAATTCTCTTTTTTTGTTGTGTCTCTGCCAGGCTTTGGTATCAGGATGATGCTGGCCTCATAAAATGAGTTAGGGAGGATTCCCTCTTTTTCTATTGATTGGAATAGTTTCAGAAGGAATGGTACCAGCTCCTCCTTGTACCTCTGGTAGAATTCGGCTGTGAATCCATCTGGTCCTGTACTTTTTTCGGTTGGTAAGCTATTAATTATTGCCTCAATTTCAGAGCCTGTTATTGGTCTATTCAGAGATTCAACTTCTTCCTGGTTTAGTCTTGGGAGGGTGTATGTGTCGAGGAATTTATCCATTTCTTCTAGATTTTCTAGTTTATTGGTGTAGAGGTGTTTATAGTATTCTATGATGGTAGTTTGTATTTCTGTGGGATCAGTGGTGATATCCCTTTTATCATTTTTTATTGTGTCTATTTGATTCTTCTCTCTTTTCTTCTTTATTAGCCTTGCTAGTGATCTATCAATTTTGTTGATCTTTTCAGAAAACCAGCTCCTGGATTCATTGATTTTTTGAAGAGTTTTTTGTGTCTCTATTTCCTTCAGTTCTGCTCTGATCTTAGTTATTTCTTGCCTTCTGCTAGTTTCTGAATGTGTTTGCTCCTGCTTTTCTAGTTCTTTTAATTGTGATGTTAGGGTGTGAATTTTAGATCTTTCCTACTTTCTCTTGTGGGCATTTAGTGCTATAAATTTCCCTCTACACACTGCTTTGAATGTGTCTCAGAGATTCTGGTATGTTGTGTCTTTGTTCTCATCAGTTGCAGAGAACATCTTTATTTCTGCCTTCATTTCGTTATGTACCCAGTAGTCACTCAGGAGCAGGTTGTTCAATTTCCATGTAGTTGAGTGGTTTTGAGTGAGTTTCTTAAGCCTGAGTTCTAGTTTGATTGCACTGTGGTCTGAGAGCCAGTTTGTTGTAATTTCTGTTCTTTTACATTTGCTGAGGAGTGCTTTACTTCCAACTGTGTGGTCAATTTTGGAATAAGTGTGGTGTGGTGCTGAGAAGAATGTATATTCTTTTGATTTGTGGTGGAGAGTTCTGTAGATATCTATTAGATCCACTTGGTACAGAGCTGAGTTCAATTCCTGGATATCCTTGTTAACTTTCTGTCTCATTGATCTGTCTAATGATGACAGTGGGGTGTTAAAGTCTCCCATTATTATTGTGTAGGAATGTATGTCTCTTTCTAGGTCCCTAAGGACTTAAGGACTTGCTTTATGAATCTGGGTGCTCCTGTATTGGGTGCATATATATTAAGGATAGTTAGCTTTTCTTGTTGAATTGATCCCTTTACCATTATGTAATGGCCTTCTTTGTCTCTTTTGATGTTTGTTGGTTTAAAGTCTGTTTTATCAGAGACTAGGATTGCAACACCTGCCTTTTTTTGTTTTCTATTTGCTTGGTAGATCTTCCTCCATCCTTTTATTTTGAGCCTATGTGTGTCTCTGCACATGAGATGGGTTTCCTGAATACAGCACACTGATGGATCTTGACTTTTTATCCAATTTGCCAGTCTGTGTCTTTTAATTTGAGCATTTATCCCACTTACTTTTAAGGTTAATATTGTTATGTGTGAATTTGATCCTGTCATTTTGATGTTAGCTGGTTATTTTGCTCGTTAGTTCATGCAGTTTCTTCCTAGCCTCGATGGTCTTTACAATTTGGCATGTTTTTGCAGTGGCTGGTACCGGTTGTTCCTTTCCATGTTTAGTGCTTCCTTCAGGAGCTCTTTTAGGGCAGGCCTGGTGGTGACAAAATCTCTCAGCATTTGCTTGTCTGTAAAGGATTTTATTTCTCCTTCACTTATGAAGCTTAGTTTGTCTGGGTATGAAATTCTGGATTGAAAATTCTTTTCTTTAAGAATGTTGAATATTGGCCCCCACTCTCTTCTGGCTTGTAGAGTTTCTGCCAAGAGATCAGCTGTTAGTCTGATGGGCTTCCCTTTGTGGGTCACCCGACCTTTCTCTCTGGCTGCCCTTAACATTTTTTCCTTCATTTCAACTTTGGTGAATCTGACAATTATATCTCTTGGAGTTGCTCTTCTCGAGGAGTATCTTTGTGGCGTTCTCTGTATTTCCTGAATTTGAATGTTGGCCTACCTTGTTAGATTGGGGAAGTTCTCCTGGATAATATACAGCCGAGTGTTTTTCAACTCAGTTCCATTCTTCTCGTCATTTTCAAGTACACCAATCAAACGTAGGTTTGGTCTTTTCGCATAGTCCCATATTTCTTGGAGGCTTTGTTCGTTTCTTTTTATTCTTTTTTCTCTAAACTTCTCTTCTTGCTTCATTTCATTCATTTGATCTTCCATCACTGATACCCTTTCTTCCAGTTGATCCAATCGGCTACTGAGGCTTGTGCATTCATCACGTAGTTCTCGTGCCTTGGTTTTCAGCTCCATCCGGTCTTTTAAGGACTTCTCTGCATTGGTTATTCTAGTTAACCATTAGTCTAATTTTTTTTTCAAGGTTTTTAACTTCTTTGCCATGGGTTCGAACTTCCTCCTTTAGCTCGGAGTAGTTCGATCATCTGAAGCCTTCTTCTCTCAACTCATCAAAGTCATTCTCCATCCAGCTTTGTTCCATTGCTGGTGAGGAGCTGTGTTCCTTTGGAGGAGGAGAGGTGCCCTGATTTTTA
Organism: Homo sapiens; assembly: GCF_000001405.40. Classification (NCBI taxonomy): domain Eukaryota; kingdom Metazoa; phylum Chordata; class Mammalia; order Primates; family Hominidae; genus Homo; species Homo sapiens. The sequence goes on from NC_000012.12 coordinate 33,146,862, forward strand.
GAGTTTCCAGTTTTTCTGGTCTGTTTTTCCCCCATCTTTGTGGGTTTATCTACCTTTCATCTTTGATGATGGTGACATACAGATGGGGTTTTGGTGTGGATGTCCTTTCTGTTTGTTAGTTTTCCTTGTAACAGTCAGGACCCTCAGCTGCATGTCTGTTGGAGTTTCCTGGAGGTCCACTCCAGACCCTGTTTGCCTGGGTATCAGCAGTGGAGGCTGCAGAACAGGGGATATTGGTGAACAGCAAATGTTGCTGCCTGATCGTTCCTCTGGAAGTTTTGTCTCAGAGGAGTACCCAGCTGTATGAGGCATCAGTCTGCCCCTACTGGGGGGTGCCTCCCAGTTAGGCTACTTGGGGGTCAGGGACCCACTTGAGGAGGCAGTCTGTCTGTTCTCAGATCTCCAGCTGCGTGTTGGGAGAACCACTACTCTCTTCAAATCTGTCAGACAGGAACATTTAAGTCTGCAGAGGACTCTGCTGCCTTTTGTTTGGCTATGTCCTGCCCCTAGAGATGGAGTCTACAGAGGCAGGCAGGCCTCCTTGAACCGCGGTGGGCTCCACCCAGTTCGACCTTCCTGGCTGCTTTGTTTACCTACTCAAGCCTTGGCAATGGTGGGCGCCCCTCCCCAATCCTCACTGCTGCCTTGCAGCTGGATCTCAGACTGCTGTGCTAGCAATGAGTGGGGCTCCGTGGGCGTAGGACATTCTGAGCCAGGCGTGGGATATAATCTCCTGGTGTGCCATTTGCTAAGACCATTGGAAAAGCTCAGTATTAGGGTGGGAGTGACCCGATTTTCCAGATGCCCTCTGTCACCCCTTTCTATGACTAGGAAAGGGAATTCCCTGACCCCTTGCACTTCCTGGGTGAGGTGATGTCTCACCCTGCTTTGGCTCATGCTTGGTGCACTGCACCCACTGTCCTGCACCCACTTTCTGACACTCCCCAGTGAGATGAACCTGGTACCTCAGTTGGTAATGCAGAAATCACCCGTCTTCTGCGTCGCTCATGCTGGGAGCTGTAGACTGGAGCTGTTCCTATTCGGTCATCTTCTGATTTGCATTTTTCTAATGATGAGTGATTTTGAGCTTTTTTTCCATGTTGTTGGTCGCATAAATGTCTTCTTTTGAGAAGTGTGTGTTAATATCCTTTACCCACTATTTAAAGGTTTTTTTGTTCTTGTAAATTTGTTTAAGTTCCTTGTAGACACTGGATATTAGATCTATCCAGGATCTTTTGATGTATCTGCTAAACTGCCTTCAGTACCAGCTTCACCCTCTGGCTAATTCCTCCTCTGTGGTAGTAAGATGGCTCTTGTGGCATTCTGGGCTATCTGCTTTGTTTGTTTCATGTTCAGCATGGGAGAGTGAGAAAAATACATTTTTTCCAACCCTGAAACATAAATTCATCAAATTTTGTCATATACCCATGCTTGGATGAATAATATATTTCATGAGAATGTCATGAGATTATAAGTTTAGATGAGACAGGATCAGCCCAAACCTAGGAATTGGGAATGTTTCACCTTCCTGGAAACTAATGACTGAGTAGGTAAGGTGGGACATGTGAACAAAATCAAGCTTTAGCTGGGAAGGAGAAAGTGAAAAGATGGTAGCACCTGCTAGTATTCTCACAGGAACCTTAAGAGGTAGTTACTGTATTATCATCTCCATATTACAGATGAAGAAACAGATAGAGAAAGGTTAGGTGACTTGCCCAGTTGGTGAAGCTGGACTTTGAATGGAGCATCTAATACCAGAGTCCATGTTTGAAACCACAACTTTACATGCCTTATGGTTCTGATCTAATGGAGGAGCAGAATGGCCCCAAATTCTTCCTCTCTGGAGTTAACTTCAGGAGGAATTACATTCTGTGTTCGAGAGTAGGCTTTGGATTGGAATAGATTTCCAGGGTGATTCTCAACCAAAGCCAGAGCTGTGCAACTGGATAGAAGGAGAATCTGGAACTATGCAAATACCAGCCAGCCAGGCCAGAGGTGACCTGCTGTCTGGAAAAAATAATGCCTTCTCAGAGTGATAAATTGTTCACTTTCATAAGTGCATTCAAACAATCACAATGTAGGAGAAAGTGAGGATTATTTTTTGCACAGTGAAGTTCTGTGCTTACAGACAATTGATAGTCAAGAAAAACACAGGGAGATAAAATAAATTAGAAAAATGCACTTGAAATATAATACACATCTTTTAGCAGCCTTGTTATTCTTTTTGTCAAAATGCTTGCAAACTGTCATAAAGTGGTTGCATAGCTAGAACAGGTGTTAGAGTCGAGACTATGTAGCTTTAAATCTTGATTCCACCAACCTACTACTGTATGATCATGGGCAAGATAATCTCTGTCTCTCCATTTATAAAATGGGAATACTATTATTACTCTCCTCAGAGGACTGCAGTGAGAATTAAACCTATGTATTTGTAGTGTTTAGTATAGCAGCTGATATATGGTAAATGCTATAGAAGTGTTTGCTGTTCTTAATAATTGATTTATATTCCACATAAATTAAGTGGTTACTATCCTACCACTTCTATAAAAATCTTTGTTTGCAAAGAACATGTTTTAATTTAATACTTTCTTATGCTGGAAAAAAAATAGTAAGATAGTAAAGGAAATAAAACACCACTCATTGGCAGTAAAACTCTGCCTTAGAAAAAATTTTGTTTCGCAAACTATATTCTCTTAGCTTATGGTTTGCCATTTGATTAGTGGCCTAAAAATAATAATATGATTGTCTGAAAAACAAATGCCTTCACTCTTTTTTTGGGAGACACAAATGTTAAGTTTTTGTGATTTAAAAGGAAGAGAGATTTAAATGAGAGATTCAAGGAGTTGATTTATGACCCGCTATTCTGGAAACAACTTCAAATCCCCTCTACATTTGGTCCCGGGATCCCTGTTGTTCATTTATCTAAGTGTGTAATATTTTTAAAATAAATTACAAATATTTTCAGACAGAGTACTGCAGCAAACCTGAAATGTAATAGAAGCTAAATTTGATATTCTGTTCATTTGATATTTAGAGTGAATTCTTACCACTTACTATGCGAATTGATTTTTGCTTTTTATTTTTAGAAAACTATTTGTTTTGCAAAGACCAAGAGTATGGAGAGAATGCACCTTAAAACCAAGGGTATTGGATTAATTTGGTAGCCATATCAAAATTAAACATGACCCCATTTAACACTATATTCATGACATATTGTAGGTGAATTATAGATTATGCATGTTGTATATGAAAAAACAAAATAAAATTTTTAGGGAATAGTATAAGAGAATGTCTTCAGGACTTTGGGGAAGGAAAATGTTTCTTAAACAGGAAACAGTACTAGCATAAAGGAAAAGTTTTATAAATTGGATTTTATTAAAATTAAAGACTGCTTATGAAGTTTTTATTTTATTATAGTGCTTATTTTATTAAAATTAAAAACTGCTTAAGGGAGTGAAAAGGTAAGCAACAGAGTAGGAGAAGATACTTGCAATACCATATCTGTCAAATTATTTGTGTATGGAATATATAAAAGTTTTCTATTAACATGACAATGACAGACAACTCAAAGGCAAAACACTTCAACAGGCACTTCACTAAAGAGGATATCCAATTGATTTTTAAGCATCTGAAAGGGTGTCAAACATCATTAGTTATCATAAAAGTATAAATTGAAAGCATAATGAAATACCTCTAGTGCCTACTGGAATGGCAAAATAAAAAAGAACAAAAACTATCAATATCAAGTATTGGCAAATACCTGTAGCAACTGGAACTCTCATTCACAGCTGGAAGGAGTATAAATTGGTACAATGACATGGGAAAACTGTTTGACTTATTTGCTAGAGCTGAACATTCACAAGCTCCGTGATCCATCAATATTGCTTCTTAAAAAGAAGGGCAATTCACTCCTGCCTGAAAGAAATTTATACAAATGTTTTCTAAAAATACATTTACTACAATAGTCATAGGAACATTTCCCATATAAATCTCAATCTTGACACAATCATTCTATCAACATATTCATATATGTGAATATATCTGTGAAATACTATTCAGCAATGGAAAGAGCAAATTACAGTTACATGTAACAACATAAATGAGTCCCATAAACATAATGTTGAATGAAAGAAGCCAGACATAAAAGTGTACACACTCTACAATTTCATATGAAGTTTTAAAATGCAAAACTAATGTGTAGTGTTAGAAATTTAAAGGGTGGTTGCCGAGACCAGCTTTGTTGCGGAGACCCTAACCCAGTGGTGCTAGAGGAATTAAAGACACATGCACAGAAAGATAGAGTGTGGAGTGGCAAATCAGGGGTCTCACAGCCTTCAGAGCTGAGAGCCTTGAACAGAGATTTACCTACATATTTATTGACAGCAAGCCAGTCATAAGATTTACTAAAAGTATTTCTTACAGGAAATAAAGAGATGGGCTGAAATAAAGGGATGGGTTTGGCTAGTTATCTGCAGCAGGAGCATGTCCTTAAGACACAGATCACCCATGCTATTGTTTGTGGCTTAAGAATGCCTTTAAGCAGTTTTCCACCCTGTGTGGGCCAGGTGTTTTTTGCCCTCATTCCAATAAACCCACAACCTTCCAGTGTGGGCATCATGGCCATCATGAACATGTCACAGTGCTGCAGGGATTTTGTTTATGGCTAGTTTTGGGGCCAATTTATGGCCAGATTTGGGGCCTCTTCACCAACAGGTGGTTTCCTTTGTAGGGGTGGCTGATGTTTGGGAATGGGTGTGAGGAATGCTACAGAATGCCAAGATGAGCTTGGTTGTGGAGACCTTAACCCAGCAGTGCTAGAGGAATTAAAGACATACACACAGAAATATACAGTGTGGAGTGGGAAACCAGGGGACTCATAACCTTCAGAGCTGAGAGTCCTGAACAGAGTTTGACCCACATATTTATTGACAGCAAGCCAGTGATAAGCATTATTTCAATAGGTTATAGATTAACTAAAAGTATTCCTTATGGGAAACAAAGGGATGGGCCAAAACAAAGGGATGGGCCCTGGCTAGATATCTGCAGCAGGAACATGTCCTTAAGGCACAGATCACTCATGTTATTGTTTGTGGCTTAGGAATGCCTTAAGCAGTTTTCCACCCTGGGTGGGCCAGGTGTTCCTTGCCCTTATTCTGGTAAACCCACAACCTTCAGGGTGGGCATCATGGCCATCATGAACATGTCACAGAGCTGCAGAGATTTTGTTTATGGCCAGTTCTGGGGCCAGTTTATGGCTAGATTTGTGGGCCTGTTCCCAACAACAGAAGAGCTAATAATGTTTCATCATATCTTAATCTAGATGGGGAAACATTGTGTATTCATATTTGAGATGTTTATAAAACTATCCACAAAAATTTGTGAACTAAAGTTTAAGTTAGCTTGAAATGATTTAAAATCTGTAGTGCTAGTGTACTCAAAATGAAAAAAAATTCCTGCAGACAACACATACTTTACTATGAGCTCAAGGGAAGCCAGTGGTTGCTCTCAAGATTGATGTTTCTACAGACAAAAGAAGATTTTAAAATTTCTGTACAAATTGATCTGTTTGATATTATTCAAGGCATCAAATATGTATACAGCATTTGCATTGAGCCTATCGTTTTTCTAGGGCTTTAGAGAAGTTATTTTTGGATGATAAAATATTCAGATGTGATTTAGATAATTAGAATTTTCAGAATAATAAAGTAAGGTGATAGTTCATGCACTCATAAAATTTTATTTACTTATTTATTCTATTGGGGTGAGTATAATCCATGTATGTTAGCTGAATAAGCCTACAGCTACTAAAATTCTTCAGGCTAATTGGCAAATATGGCAAATGCTGTGTCCAGACCACCTCCAAATCCTTTTGCCTTGGCAGTCTAGTCACTGGTTAAGGATGGGTGTAGATACATGAATGGGATTAATTTGGATTATGATAAATGTGAAGAAGCAAGGTGATAATCAAATCTGAGTGAGAAGGCATAGATCCTGTTCTAGTGCTTTTTGGTTATTGGAGCAGGAGCACTGTGCAGATGGGAGAAGATATTGCAGAAAGTCAGGGACCCCAAACGGAGGGACCAGCTGGAGCTGCGGCAGAGGAACATAAATTGTGAAGATTTCATGGACATTTATTAGTTCCCAAAATTAATACTTTTATAATTTCTTATGCCTGTCTTACTTTAATCTCTTAATCCTGTTATCTTCATAAGCTGAGGATGTACATCCCCTCAGGGCCACTGTGATGATTGCATTAACCGTACAAATTGATTGTAAAATGTGTGTTTGAACAAGATGAAATCAGTGCACCTTGAAAATGAACAGAATAACAGCGATTTTAGGGAACAAGGGAAGACAACCATAAGGTCTGACTGCCTGTGGGTCAGGCAAAAAGAGCCATATTTTTCTTCTTGTAGAGAGCCTATAAATGGACGTGCAAATAGGAGAGATATTGCTAAATTCTTTTCCTAGCAAGGAATGTTGATAATTAATACTCTGGGAAAAGAATTGCATTCCTGGGGAGAGGTCTATAAACAGCCACTCTGGGAGTGTCTGTCTTACGTGGTTGAGATAAGGACTGAAATATGCCCTGGTCTCCTGCAGTACCCTCAGGCTTACTAGGGTGGGGAAAAAATCCCGCCCTGGTCAATTTGAGGTTGGACCAGTTCTCTGCTCTCCAACCCTGTTTTCTGTTGTTTAAGATGTTTATCAAGACAATACGTGCACAGTTGAATATAGACCCTCATCAGTAATTCTAATTTTGCCCTTTGCCTTGTGATCTTTGCTTTGCCCCTTGCCTTGTGATCTTTATTGGCCTCAGAAGCATGTGATCTTTGTGACCTACTCCCTGTTTGTACACCCCCCACCTTTAAAGTCCTTAATAAAAACCTGCTCGTTTTGCAGCTCAGGTGGGCATCATGGACCTACCAATATGTGATGTCACCCCCGGTGGCCCAGCTGTAATATTCCTCTCTTTGTACTCTTTCTCTTTATTTCTCAGACCAGCTGACAGTTAGGGAAAATAGAAAGAACATACTTTGAAATATTGGGGGTGGGCTCCCCTGATAAGAGAAATTTTTCTAGGAGGTCTTAGAATCTAAGGATAAACTGCAGTAATGTCTTAGGCAGTGAATTTGCTAGGCTAGGACATTTCCAAAACTCTGTCATGAGGCTAGTTTAATAGATTATTTTGGAAAAGCTAAACTGGTAAGGATTTGATTTGAAATTGCATAAAACATTTCTTTAGAATGTCCTTGACATATAATTAAACAAGATGTGTCTCTTTCCTACAACGAGTAACAAGAATTTTCATTCCAATGGTATAAGCATGAAATTTCTATGTATAAAAGGTCATGCCCTTCATTAAAGCATGTGATCATTTATTACAAATTTCATTATACCTGCTCTGACTGTCACAACTGCTCATCCAACATAGCAGTATGTCATCTTCTTGCTTGGACAGATTTCAAAGTGTTTTAGTTTTGGCCTTGGGCACTGGCTACAAATTTGGTAAATAATCTTAGTCAAATATATCCAGAGAAACAATAGGCAAATACTTTTACTCTAGCTGGCCTGAGTTTCATATGCAAAAATAGCATGTCCTGTCTCCACTTACAAAGTAACAGTTGAATATGTCAGTTTAGCAATTTGGAAAGTAAATTTCAAGACTGCCACCTTCTACCATCTTCTGTGGACCACAGTGTTCCTGAGCAAAGTCAGGCACTTCCTTTTTCTGTCAGAAACAATAGGACCTCACCTATAGTTATTCTCAAACAATGTGGCCTCACCTATAGATATCTTTGCTTTTTAAGTACTATGTGTTTTATAAACATATTGGTAATTATTATTATGACTATTCATTTGAAAAATGCTCCTGAGTCACAAGAAATGAACATAGACATAGAGTCTACAGGAGAGGCTTTTGAGTGTGGCTCCTCAGTCCCCTAATCAACACTTTATTGTCACTGCTTCAGCATTCTAGAACTTTCTCATATGTGTGACTTCTGCACAAAGAGAAATAAATAAGGAACTGAACCCCAAAATAGTTCTTAGCTATTCTTAACAGAGCAACATAACAAGGAAAAACTTGAGTTGAGGATCACACATCGCTGGCTTCAAATCTCAGCCCTAACACATACTTGCTGTGAAGATGTGAGCAAATTGTTTAACCACTCCAAACCCCATTTTCCCCATCTATACAACATTCCTCATAGGTATATCATGAGGATTAAATGGAATAAAGTATATAAAGCTATTAATATAGTGTTGGAATTTAATGAGTACTCAATTCATGGCTGGCTACCTGGGATGGAATCCTGGGTACACAACTTACTATATGTAGACCTTGGGTAATCACTAAACTTTTCTTATCTGTTAAGTTAAGGGGGCTAACAGGACCTACTTCCAGGACTCCTGAGAGCAGTCAAGGAGATGACACATATTCAGTTCTCCCCAGGCTACCTGGGCCATAGAACAGGCTTACTAAGTGTTAGCTACAGCAATTGCATTGCCTGTACTTTTCCTTAAAGTAAGTAGCACAACATGCACAGTAGGCTGTTTGTTATTCCCTCTCCTTCCCAATCCCTCACTCGACAAGCTCTGAGAATAATATTGATAATAATAATAATGGCAGAATATAGTTTACAAACTTTCTGTAAGCCTAGCTTTTTGACCTTAAGTAAACAATTTAACGTCTCATTGCCTCTATTTTCTTATCTGTGAAATAAAGATAATACTGCCTATTTTTGAGGCATATATTCTTTATTAAAGAATTGAAGGTAAAGGTCACAGAACAAGATTTGGTATAGAGTAATATCTTATTAATTTTAGCTTTAAAAAGTGTTTTATTTATTTATTTATTATTATTATACTTTAAGTTTTAGGGTACATGTGCACAATGTGCAGGTTAGTTACATATGTATACATGTGCCATGCTGGTGCGCTGCACCCACTAACTCATCTATATAATCTCATTTGACTGTAACAGGTGTTTTTCTAGGTGAGATTCTTCAGTAGGTACTAAAACATGTTGAATCCTTTTTAAAAGCTATACAAATAGAGGTCAACCCAGGCCACCTAAACATTTAACTTGAACTGGGTTTGGCATGGACGAGCCAGTGTGATTTTTAGCAGTAGAACAGTCCTCCTGTCTAAACACAGTCCTCCTCCACCTATCTATCAGGCCTGAAAGTCAATAACGATGCAGGTATTCCTGGGGTAGCTCTAATTTAAACAACATCAATCATTTATACCTGAGTGTTGATGCATTTATTAGGACATCTCTGGAGAGTTTTGACAGATGTCGGGGGGGAGCTGGATAAAGCAAAGCATCATCAGTGTATGAAGATAGAGCATCTGAGTGCCTCAAGAGGGAGACAAGGACAGTAAAAAGGAAAAAGGACATAAATCAGGAAGCTAAAAATGCTACATGACACATGTCACCTACTTAGCGCGTTTGCCTGTGGCTGACCTCAAATGTCATCTCCTTCCTAATAGACAGACTTCCTAACTGCATTGGCAGCTCCTCTGAGGATTTTTTTTTTGTTCTCTCCCTATAGAAAGGATAGTCTCATATGTATTCCAAACCACTGAGAGAAAATATGTGTTAGGCCACTGAAGAATGTTATTAATATTAAATAAGCCAGAATCCCAAATGTGCTTAATCCCAAGTGTGCTTCTGATACCACGGCTTGGAGAAAAACAAAAATTCAAAAATAAATCTTAAGTAAAATGGGGGTGACAATTATGTCTGATGTACTTTGGATGTATCTGTTAAAATTCTCATCTTTTGAACTCTAGGAATTGCTTGGAAAAGAGGGGAAAACTTCAAATCTCACTTTTATGTGCCCTGACTCAAGAGTTTCAGGTTTTCCAGGTATGCAGTGCTGTGCTAGAGCACCAGGTGTGATATGGTTTGAATGTTTTGTCCCCTCCAGATCTCGTGTTGAAATGTGCTGTCCAATGTTGGAGGGGGTGCCTGCTGGGAGGTGTTCCGGTCATCAGGGGGGATCCCTCATGAATGCCTTGGTGCTGTACTCATGGTGATGAGTGAGTTCTCACCCTATGAATTCATGCAAGATCTGGTTGTTTAAAAGAGTGTAGCATCTCTTCTCTTTCTCTCTTGTTCCCCTTCTTGCCATGTGATATGGTTTGGCTCTGTGTCCCCACCCAAATCTCATCTCTAACTGCAATCCCCATGTGATGAGGGAGGGTCCTGGTGGGAGGTGATTGGATCATGGTGGCAGTTTCCTCCATGCTGTTCTTGTGATAGTGAGTGAGTCCTCACAAGATCTGATGGTTTTAGAATAGGTGGTTTCCCCTGCTCTCTTCTCTTTCTTGCTGCCTTGTGTGGAAGCTACTTGCTTCTCCTTTGCCTTCCACCATGACTGTAACTTTCCTGAGACCTCTCCAGCCATGTAGAGCTGTGAGTCAATTAAATCCCTTTCTTTTATAAATTACCCAGTCTTGGATATTTCTTTGTAGCAGTGTGAGAACAAACTAATACGCCATGTGACACACAGACTCCCCTTTGCTTCTACCATGATTGCAAGCTTCCTGAGGCACCCCCAGAAGCAGATGCTGACACTATGCTTCCTGTGCAGCTGGCAGAACCATGAGCTAATTAAATCTCTTTTCTTTATAAATTACCCAGCCTCAGATACTTCTTTATGGTAACACAAAACAGACTAACACAATGTGCCTTCAACAAGCAGCTGTCACCTGCAAGTTTTAGCCACCGTAGAAGAATCAAAAGAACCAGACGTAGTTTTTTTCTTGCTCTGCATTTACTATGCCCCCAGAAGATGACCCTTACTTACATTTTGATTGGGGTTCACTAGAAAGGAAGGAGACTAGAGCAAGGAAAGAAAAGGCAAAGGTGCTTTGGACTAAAGAAAGAGTAAGTGTCTCCAAGACTGAGAAAGGACCACAGGTTTAAGAATGCTTCACCTCAAAGCTTGTGTGCAATGTTTTGGATGGGAGAGGTACAAGGTGACTGTGTTGTCTAGGGCTGAGGTTGGTAGAAAGGACCACTGAGAGCAGGAATACCGGACATAGCAAATGACAAGGAGCAGGACTCAACAGCAGCAATGGTAGCAGAAAGAGTAATAAAATTAATACCAAAGATTTGTCTTCTGTTTTCTTCCAGGACTTGTCTTCCATTTTCTAAGTATCATAAAAGCTTCTTAAATTATTGTGAGACCTCAGGGAGAGAAGGGCTCCCTCAAAGAAGATTGGGATTAAGTTTCCCACACTTTTCACCTGAGGTCAGGAGTTCTAGACCAGCCAGGCCAACATGGTGAAACCCCATCTCTACTAAAAATACAAAAATTATCTGGGCGTGGTTGCACATGCCTGTAATCCCAGCTACTTGGGAGGCTGAGGCAGGAGAATCGCTTGAACTTGGGAGGTAGAGGTTGCAGTGAGCCGAGATTGCTCCATTGCACTCCAGCCTGGGTGACAGAGCAAGACTCTGTCTCCAAAAAAAAAAAAAAAAAAACCAAAAAACAAACAAACGAACAAACAAACGAAAAACCAAAAAAAATTTCCACACTTTGTTAAATGGACTCAGTGGCATATTTAGTTTGATTTAGAAAACAGAGGGATATTTTTCACACCTCTGTGTTATGGAGCAGATTCTTTCCTATGCTCTGTGAGAACAAGATCCATGTGTCTTTGTCACTGTATTGACATCAACTGTGGAGCACCTGGTATATGAGATCTCAACAAATATTAAAATAAATAGGGCTAAGCACAGTGGCTCATGCCTGTAGTTGCAGAGGTTTGGGAGGCCGAGATAGGCAGATTGCTTCAGTCTACAAGCTCAAGACCAGCCTGGACAACAAGGCGAAACCCCATCTCTACAAAAAATGCAAAAGTTAGCTGGGTGTGGTGGCACATGACTTTAGTCCCAGCTACTTGGGAGGCTGAGGTGGGAGGATTTGTTGAGTTTGGTAGGCTGAGGCTACAGTGAGCCATAATTGTACCACTGCCCTGCAGCCTGGGTGACAGAGTGAAACCCTGTCAAGAAAGAAGAAAGAAAGAAAGAAGGAAAGAAGGAAAGAAAGAAAGAAGGAAAGGAAGGAAGGAAGGGAGGGAGGGAGGGAGGGAGTGGAATGACTAATTGGAAATACAGTAAAATTTAAAAGACTCAGTTGAATCCAAATTTTGTTTCTCATACTGGGTGAAGCTTTGGTGTAAGACAGAGCTTCCCAGTCTGGGCAGTAAAGTATTTGACATTTTTATTCAGATACTTCATGTGTTTGTGTGTGTGTAAGTCTTACAGTGTGTCCTAGAATGTTTAACAGCATCCTTGGCCTTTGCTTAGATTATATAGGAAAAATCAGACGTCGGAAAAGTAGAGTTGAATTTTGCATGTGAAATTGGTTTTCCACAAGTGATTTATTTGAGACAGAAGGGTTTGTTACATGGAACTATCTGGTTTTCTGAGTTCATCTATCACATAATCTTATAAATGAGTTTGTGTGTATAGAATTTGCTTACATGTGGCAGTGATGTTTTAAAAAACATTGGACTAAGACTTATAAGATCAAGGATTGAATTCCGGCTTTGCACTTACTACTTTTGGAACATGTTTAACTTTTGTGTCTCTCAATTTTCTTTTCTGTATTTGGGAAATAATTTTTAAAAAACACTTCACAGATAGTTGTGAAAATCAAACTACATAAAAACAATTATCACTTATTTATTGACACACATTATTTCTGTTACACACTGAATACCTTTTAAAACACATATGTCTCTGAGAGTAGTAACTCAAGATGAGAAAGGCGTATGAAGACAGTCTAAAGTCAAGGAGGCCAAACTAAATTTCTCCTTCTTGCTCATAGTTCAATTGCAAATATGGGTAAATACATGGAACCTATAATATTTGCCAAATAGCCATACCTGAAAGACTCTTTCCATGTTTAAATTTGTCAGAGAACTTCAAAGGTTAAACAATTAGAGTCAGGAGAGTCAGATGGAATTAGTCTAGAAATGATGAATATTGTCCCAGAGGCAGACAGGTCTGGCCAGGTGGAGGTGGTTTTTAACAGATGGGAAGGTACTGGTTGGTTTCTAGTACTCTCTGGCTGAGCAAGGACATTGGGTAATATGGAGGTCGCTGGTGTTATGGAATCGTGACTCTGTCACTGAAGGTGCGGGGTGATCCTAGGAAGACACTAACTTCTATGCCAAGCAGGTGTTGGCATTCTGATGTGTAAGAAGGCATAGTTCTATGTCACCAAACTTGGGGATGTTTTGTCTAGTCTTATGGGAAATTCAAATAATGACTTAATAATGAATGAACAACTGCCAAAGTATAGATTAGAGGTCACATTTATTTTTGTTTTACATATTGACATACGGTCCTTGAACTTTCAGGAGATATATACTCTCATATAGTGATATACTTCATCTCATATCTTTCTTCAAACTTGCAGTTCAATAAGTTCTTTATTCTTACAAGTTAAAACAAAAATTGACAACATTCAAAACCTAATCCATAGCTTAAAAATAACGGTCTGAGAAATAGGAGTATTGTACAACTACTATGTCACATCTAGAACTGTCCAGTAATGTAAGCACCTGTATCGAGATTGAAAAAAATAATTTGGAGAAATGGTTCACCATTAAAACCCACAGAGGTAAGGCCAGTCCATTAGAATTACTGGAGGAAGCTTTAAAACTATTGGACTAGACCCTGCCCTGAAAAGATTCTGACTTAATAGATTTCGGATGAGACCCAAGAGTCTTTATTCATTTTTTTCACTTAAAAATTCTCCCAGGTAATTTTAATACACATATTTTTGGAGAAATGTTACAAGAAAAAATTTTAGATACTTAGAAATGTTCCTTTGAATTGTATTTCATGTTTCTTAAATGGCCCAATGAAGCTTTAAAAGTTTTTAGACCAGTTGCTTTAGAACTTAAATTTCCACACGGCGGTTTTATTTTTCTCATGTACCTGAGAAATCAACGATATTCATTTGTCAGAATATAAATCCATAAACCTCAAAGCAGGGAGCTTGCTTCTGTGCTTCATGTTTATGATTCTGTTTCACCTACAATGCCCCTGATGTGATTATAATCCCTTCATCAACAGGCAAAGGACTCTGCAGATTTTGAAGGTTGAATTTTACATTCCTATTTTGGGCATACTTTGTTCATGCCTATTATGGTGTAATAACCATCTGTCTGCTGCAGCGGATAAGTACTAGATGCCACCTGCACTTTCAGCCAAAATATAAAAATATAAAGAGTCTGGCAAAATGGGGCTTATAAATTCTGTCCTAATTCTCCCCTGAATGCCTGTTTGCGGTCATCCCATTCGCATAGCTGAATGATTATGATGCAGTGAAAACATTGTGGACTTTAGATATGAATTTGAATGTGAGCTTACTTTTCTCATTCATTCATTCAACAAATATCTGCTGTCCACCATGTGCCAGAGGCTATTCTCGGGCACAGAGAGAAAAAACATGAGACTGCATCTTCAGGTAACTCATAGGCTTGCTTGCAGGAAACAGACAAGTAAACAATTATTACCCAGAGTGTAAAGTGTCAGAAGAGATGGGAGCATAGGGCAGGAAGTCTGAAGAGAGAGACATAACATAAATTTGGTGTGGGGGGTGGCCCTGGTTCAGAGGGTGTTGGAACTTTTAAGTAGTTCCTGGAGAAGCACTGATCTTGAGTTTTAAAGAAATCTTAAGCTGTGGGAGAGGGAGCATGAGGGTAGTTTATCCAAAGAATATGTGTGTGATATGTTTTGTTGGGATAACTGAAGGAAAGGGATGTGAGGAGAAAAGAGATAACAAGTGAGGCTAGAGCACTCAGCAAAAGCTGTGTAATTAGAACCTGTGGACTCTATTACAAAGGCAATGGAGAGTCATTGACTAGGGCTGACATGATGAGATTGGCATTTTAGGTCACCTTGAAGAGGGACATGACTAAGCAGGCTATGGAAGTAATTCAGACTGAGGAGGCAGTGGTACTGGTGATGCTAGTGCGGAAATGGATTTTAGAGTTATTTAAGAGTTACTTTGATTGGACTTTATCTCTAATTTCATGCACGTGTAAAAAAGAGGCAGGGCTGGTCATGGTAGCTCATGCCTGTAATCCCAGCACTTTGGGAGGTTGAGGTGGGCGGATCGCTTGAGCTCAGGAGATTGAGATCAGCTTGGCCAACACGGTGAAACCTCATCTCTACTAAAAATACAAAAAATTAGCTGGGTGTGGTGGTGTACACCTCTAGTCCCAGCTACTCAGTAGTCTGAGATGGGAGAATCACCTGAGCCCAGAAGGCTGAGGCTTCAGTGAGCTGAGATGGTGCCACTGTACCCCAGACTGGGCAACCACAGTGAGACCCTATCTCAAACTAACTAACTAAATAAACAAATGGGAGAGGTAGTAATTTAGGGTGCCCTGCAGTCTTCTGGCTCAGGAAACAGGGTGAATGGCATTGTCTTTCACCACTTTAGGGAGCACAGGAAGAGGAACACTTTTGAGAGAGGGTGTTCTGATTCACTGCTTTTTTAGAGGCCATTTTTTCAAAGATTTACCTAAGCCACCAGATGACATGGGTTGAATTTTCCCTGTACTGTGTAGCTAAAGCAATAACATCAACTCACAATCACCAAAGCAAAATGTATTAGTATTTTTCAGATTAGATGTGATGCAACAGCAACATAATATGTAAATATAATGTGTAGTAAACTGCATGCAACATAGTGCATAAAGAAGCTTTTTCTATGCCACTGCTGCCCAGCCATCCTGGGTTTGCATATGACCTTAAGAAGTTGGCCTGAAAAGGAAATTAGAAAGAGGAGAAGACTGGTTCTTGGGCAGCATATAGATACATCTTTCAGCCTGGAAGTCCTCCCAGCAATGTGGATGAATTAATATTTAAATGTCTATGGAATTAAAGGTTGTCACATGTCCATTGACAGATCTGAACAGATACGCACGGGCCTGTCCAACTTCTATTAATCTGAGAAGTGGTCTGTGAAGTCTCTATGGGGCTGGGCATCAGGATAGCCTGGAAAGTCTGGGATTTTGGCCCTTAGTAGGGTCACAAGTGGGTGTAAGCCATACCAGCGTAAATAACTTTACATATATAACACCTGTGCATTTGTATTCATCAGTGACCCTATCCTAACTTTGCTTCTGGGAGCCAGATTGATTCCTCAGATTACAGGAGCCCATTTTTTTAGTGAAATCATTGAAGATATATTGGCTTAGGGAGAGATTCAAGGGGCAACTGAGAATATAGGTCTAGAGTTCAAGATGGTTGTCTGGGCTGGATATTTAGGGAGACTTTTCCGTGTCTATTGTGAACCTCGTATTGGCTACTTTTGAGATCTCAAACTCATTTTTTTCTCAGTGTTTTAAGTAACAGACCATCATCTACCCAAGCAATGTTATAAGGTCCTTTTAAGGGCCATTGTAGTTTTACCATTTTAAGTCCAAATACACTTAAGCTGAGAAGCACCAGTACTTGGATTTGTAACAGCATTTGTAGATTTTTAGGTTGTATAGGCAATAGGATGTTTTCATGTAACTGAAGTGTTTTTGCTAGTGGAGAAAATTAATTATGCAGAAATCAAACCCTTTCAAACACTTAATTACCTTGAAATGTTTGTAGAGTTTAAATACAACTTATTAAGCTTTTACTTATGCAGGTACTATGTTTTGTGGTATATATAATCTGTCAAAAAATAGAGTAGTATCTTCTAATCATTATGACCTAATAAGCAGTAAAAAGGTAAGACAAATACAGACATGAATATTCCCAATGAAACGATATGAAATGTTAGATGTGGGAGCCCACCACAGCTTGGCAAAGCTGTTATAGACAGACTGCATCTCTAGATTCCTCCTCTCTGGGCAGGGCATTTCTGAAAGAAAGGCAGCAGCCCCAGTCAGGGTCTTATAGATAAAACTCCCATCTCCCTGAAACAGAGCACCTGGGGGGAAGGGGTGGCTGTGGGGACAGCTTCAGCAGACTTAAATGTTCCTGCCTGCCAGCTCTGAAGAGAGCAGTGGATCTCCCAGCACAGCACTCGAACTCTGCTAAGGGATAGACTACCTCCTCAAGTGGGTCCCTGATCCCTGTGCCTCTTCGTGGGGAGACAAATCCCAGCAGGGGTTGACAGACACCTCAAGCAGGGGAGCTCAGGCTGGCATCTGGCAGCTGCCCTTCTGGGATGAAGCTCCCAGCGGAAGGAAGAGGCAGCAATCTTTGCTGTTCTGCAGCCTTCGCTGGTGATACCCAGGCAAACGGTGTCTGGAGGGGACCTCCAGCAAACTCCAGCAGACCTGCAGCAGAGGAGCCTGACTGTTAGAAGGAAAAGTAACAAACAGAAAGGAATAGCATCAACATCTACAAAAAGGACATCCACACAAAAACCCCATCTTAAGGTCACCAACATCAAAGACCAAAGATAGATAAATCCACAAAGATGAGGAAAAGACAGCTCAAAAAGGCTGAAATTTCCAAAAAGCAGAATGCCTCTTCCCCTCCAGAAAAAATCACAACTCCTTGCCAGCAAGGGAACAAAAATGGATGGAGAATGAGTTTGAGAAATTGTCAGAAGTAGGCTTCAGAAGGTAAGTAATAATAAACTCCTCTGAGCTAAAGGAGCATGTTCTAACCCAATGCAAGGAAGACAAGAACC
The DNA here is from genome assembly GCF_000001405.40 of Homo sapiens. Classification (NCBI taxonomy): domain Eukaryota; kingdom Metazoa; phylum Chordata; class Mammalia; order Primates; family Hominidae; genus Homo; species Homo sapiens. Next base: position 33,164,537 of record NC_000012.12, read on the forward strand.
TTGAAAAAAGGTTGGAGGCATTTCTAACTGGAATATCCAATTTAGTGAAGAACATAAATGACATGATAGAGCTGAAAAACACAGCACAAGAACTTCATGTAGTATCAATAGCTGAATTGATCAAGTGGAAGAAAGGATATCAGAGATTGAAGATCAACTTAATGAAATAAAACATGAAGACAAAATTAAAGAAAAAAGAATGAAAAGGAATTGAATGAAGCCTCCAAAAATCATGGGACTATGTGAAAAGACAAAACCTATATTTGATTGGTGTACCTTGAAGTGACTGGGAGAACGGAACCAAGTTGGAAAACACTCTTTGAGATATTATGCAGAAGAACTTCCCCAACCTAGAAAGACAGGCCAACATTCAAATTCAGGAAATACAGAGCACACCAAAAAGATACTCCTCAAGAAGAGCAACCCCAAGACATGTAATTGTCAGATTCACCAAGGTTGAAATGAAGGAAAAAATTTTAAGGGCAGCCAGAGAGAAAGGTCAGCTTACCCACAAAGGGAAGCCCATTAGACTAACAGCAGATCTCTTGGCAGAAACCCAACAAGCCAGAAGAGAGTGGGGGCCAATATTCGACATGCTTAAAGAAAAGAATTTTCAACCCAGAATTTCATATACAGCCAAACTAAGCTTCATAAATGAAGGAGAAATAAAATCCTTTAAAGAGAAGCAAATGCTGAGAGATTTTGTCACTACCAGGCTTGCCTCACAAGAGCTCCTGAAGGAAGCACTAAATACAGAAAGGAAAAACTGGTACCAGCCACTGCAAAAACATACCAAATTGTAAAGACCATTGACACCATGAAGAAACTGCATCAACTAACAGGCAAGATAACCTGCTAGCATCAAAATGACAGGATCAAATTCACACATAACAATATTAGCCTTAAATGTAAATGGGCTAAATGGCCCAATTAAAAGACACAGACTGGCGAATTGGATAAAGAGTCAAGCTCCATCAGTGTGTTGTATTCAGGAGACCCATCTCATGTGCAAAGACACACATAGGCTCAAAATAAAGGGATGGAGGAATATTTACCAAGCAAATGGAAAGTGAAAAAAAGAGCAGGGGTTGTAATCCTAGCCTCTGATAAAACAGACTTTAAACCAACAAAGATCAAAAGAGACAAAGAAGGGCATTACATAATGGTAAAGGGATAAATGCAACAAGAAGAGCTAACTATCCTAAATATATATGCACCCAACACAGGAACACTCGGATTCATAAAGCAAGTTCTTAGAGTTCTACAAGGAGACTTAGACTCCCACACAATAATAGTGGGAGACTTTAACATCCTACTGTCAATATTAGACAGATCAACAAGACAGAAAATGAACAAGGATATTCAGGACTTGAACTCAGCTCTGGACTGAGCAGACCTAATGGACATCTACAGAACTCTCCACCCCAAATCAACAGAATATACATTCTTCTCAGCACCACATCACATTTATTCTGAAATTGACCACATAATTGGAAGTAAAATACTCCTCAGCAAATGCAAAAGAATGGAAATCATAACAGTCTCTCAGACCACAGTGCAATCAAATTAGAACTCAGGATTAAGAAACTCATTCAAAACCACACAACTACATGGAAACCGAACAACTTGCTCTTGAATGACTACTGGGTAGATAACCAAATTAAGGCAGAAATAAATAAGTTCTTTGAAACCAATGAGAACGACACAATGTACCAGAATCTCTGGGACACAGCTAAAGCAGTGTTTAGAGGGAAATTTATTTACTTATTTTATTTTATTTTATTTTATTTTTTTTTTCTGTTTAGAGAAGACCAAAGGGTGATTTTTATTCAAAGATTTTCCCATGCCACATAAGACAGCACTTTATTACCCACTGTGCTGAACTGATTCCTAATTGTCCCCACGTCTGCATCTTGCGTCTGCAATTTTATTTATTTATTTATTTATTTATTTATTTATTTATTTATTTTATTTTATTTTATTTTATTATTATTATACTTTAAGTTTTAGGGTACATGTGCACAATGTGCAGGTTAGTTACATATGTATACATGTGCCATGCTGGTGTGCTGCACCCATTAACTCGTCATTTAGCATTAGGTATATCTCCTAAAAGTATCCCTCCCTCCTCCCCCAACCCCACAACAGTCCCCAGAGTGTGATGTTCCCCTTCCTGTGTCCATGTGTTCTCATTGTTCAATTCCCACCTATGAGTGAGAATATGTGGTGTTTGGTTTTTTGTTCTTGCGATAATTTACTGAGAATGATGATTTCCAATTTCATCCATGTCCCTACAAAGGACATGAACTCATCATTTTTTATGGCTGCATAGTATTCCATGGTGTATATGTGCCACATTTTCTTAATCCAGTCTATCATTGTTGGACATTTGGGTTGGTTCCAAGTCTTTGCTATTGTGAATAGTGCCGCAATAAACATACGTGTGCATGTGTCTTTATACCAGCGTGATTTATAGTCCTTTGGGTAGATACCTAGTAATGGGATTGCTGGGTCAAATGGTATTTCTAGTTCTAGATCCTAGAGGGAAATTTATAGCACTACATGCCCACAAGAGAAAGTGGGAAGATCTAAAATTGACACCCTAACATCACAATTAAAAGAACTAGAGAAGAAAGAGCAAACAAATTCAAAAGCTAGCAGAAGGCAAGAAATAACTAAGATCAGAGCAGAACTGAAGGAGATAGAGACATTAAAAACCTTTCAAAAAAATCAATGAATCCAGGGCTGTTTTTTTGAAAAGATTCACAAAATAGATAGACTGCTAGCCAGGCTAATAAAGAAGAAAAAAGAATCAAATAGTCAAAACAAAAAATGACATAGGGGATACCACCACTGATCTCACAGAAACACAAACTACCATCAGAGAATACTATAAACACCTCTACACAAATAAGCTAGAAAATCCAGAAGAAATGGATAAATTCCTGGAGACATACACCCTCCTAAGACTAAACCAGGAAGAAGTTGAATCCCTGAATAGACCTGTAACAAGTTCTGAAATTGAGGCAGTAATTAATAGCCTACCAAACAAAAAAAGCCCAGAACCAGATGGATTCAAGCCAAATTCTACCAGAGGTACAAAGAGGAGCTGGTACCATTCCTTCTGAAACTATTCCAAACAATAGAAAAAGAATGACTCCTCCCTAACTCATTTAATTAGGCCAGCATCATCCTGATACCAAAACCTGGCAGAAGACACAACAAAAGAAGAAAATTTCAGGCCAATATCCCTGATGAACATCGGTGTGAAAATCCTCAATAAAATACTGACAAACCAAATTCAGCAGCACATGAAAAAGCTTATTCACCATGATCAAGTCAGCTTCATCCCTGGAATGCAAGGCTGGTTCAACATACACAAATCAGTAAACGTAATCCATCACATAAACAGAACCAATGACAAAAACCACATGATTATCTCAATAGATGCAGAAAAGGCCTTCAATAAAATTTAACACCCCTTCATGCTAAAAACCCTCAATAAATTAGGTATTGATGGAACATATCTCAAAATAATAAGAACTATTTATGTCAAACCCATAGCCAATATCATACTGAATGGGCAAAAGCTGGAAGCATTCCCTTTAAAAACTGGCACAAGACAAGGATGCTCTCTCATCACTCCTATTCAACATAGAATTGGAAGTTCTGAACAAGGCAATCAGGCAAGAGAAAGAAATAAAGAGTATTCAAATAAGAAGGGAGGAAGTCCAATTGTCTCTGTCTGCAGATGGCATGATTGTATATTTAGAAAACCACACTGTTTGCAGATGACATGATTGTATATTTAGAAAATCCCTTTGCCCCAGCCCAAAATCTCCTTAAGCTGATAAGCAACTTCAACAGTCTCAGGATACAAAATCAATGTGCAAAAATCACAAGCATTCCTATACACCAATAATAGACAAACAGAGAGCCAAATCATGAGCAAACTCCCATTCACAATTGCTACAAAGTGAATACAACACCTAGGATTACAACTTACAAAGGATGTGAAAGACCTCTTAAAGGAGAACTACTAACCACTGCCCAAGGAAATAAGAGAGGACACAAACAAATGGAAAAACATTCCATGCTTATGGATAGGAAGAATCAATATCTTGAAAATGGCCATACTACCCAAAGTAATTTAAAGGTTCAATACTATCTCCATCAAGCTACCATTGACTTTCTTCACAGAATTAGAAAAACTACTTTAAATTTCATATGGAACCAAAAACAGCCCATATAGCCAAGACAATCCTAAGCAAAAAGAACAAAGCTGGAGGCATCACCCTACCTGACTTCAAACTATACTACAATGCTAGAGTGACCAAAACAGCATGGTACTGATACCAAAACAGATATATAGTCCAGTGTAACAGAACAGAGGCCTCAGAAATAACACCAGACACCTACAAACCTGAGAGAAACAAGCAATGGGGAAATGATTCCCTATTTAATAAATGGTGTTGGGAAAACTGGCTAGCCATATGCAGAATACTGAAACTGGACCCCTTACTTATACAAAAATTAACTCAAGATGGATTAAAGGCTTAAATGTAAGACCTAAAACCATAAAAACCCTAGAAGAAAACCTAGGCAATGCCATTGAGGACATAGGCATGGGCAAAGACCTCATGACTAAAACACCAAAAGCAATGGCAACAAAAGCCAAAATAGACCAATGGGATCTAATTAAACTAAAGAGCTTCTGCACAGAAAAAGAAACTACCATCAGAGTGAACAGGCAACCTATAGAATGGCAGAAAAATTTTGCAATCTATCCATCTGACAAAGGGCTAATATCTAGAATCTACAAGGAACTTAAACAAATTTACAAGAAAAAAACAAACAACCCCATCAAAAAGTGGGCAAAAGATATGAACAGACACTTCTGAAAAGAACATTTATGCAGCCAATAAATGTATGAAAAAAAGCTCATTATCACTGGTCATTAGAGAAATGCAAATCAAAACCACAATTAGATACCATCTCATGCTAGCTAGAATGGCGATCATTAAAAAGTCAGGAAACCACAGATGCTGGAAAGGATGTGGAGAAATAGGAACGCTTTTACATTGTTAGTGGGAGTGTAAATTAGTTCAACCATTGTGGAAGACAGTGTGGCGATTCCTCAAGGATCTAGAACCAGAAATACCATTTGACCCAGAAATTCCCATTACTGGGTATCTACCCAAAGGATTAGAAATCATTCTACTATAAAGACACATGCACATGTATGTTTATTGCAGCACTATTCACAATAGCAAAGACTTGGAACCAACCCAAATGCCCATCAATGATACACTGGGTAAAGAAAATATGGCACATATACACCATGGAATACTATGCAGCCACAAGAAAGGATGAGTTCGTGTCCTTTGCAGGGACAGGGATGAAACTGGAAACCATAATTCTCAGCAAACTAACACAGGAAGAGAAAACCAAACATGTTCTCACTCATAAGTGGGGGTTGAATAATGAGAACACATGGACACAGGGAGGGGAACATCACATACTGGGGCCTGTCAGGGGGTGAGGGGCTAGGGGAGGGATAGCATTAGGAGAAATAGTTAATGTAGATGATGGGTTGATGGGTGCAGCAAACCACCATGACAAGTGTATACCTATGTAACAAACCTGCATGCTCTGCACATGTATCCCTGAACATAATGTGTGTGTGTATATATATGAAATATAGACAACTTGAATATCCCTGTATCTATTAAAGCAATTAAAATTTTAATTAAAAACCCTCTCGCAAAGAAAACTCCAGGCCCAGGTGACTTCACTAATGAATTCCTATGAGCATTTTAAAAAGAAACATTTTCCAGAAAATTGAAGGCCAGGAAATATTAATTTAAAAAAAATGGAAATGTCAGCTGTATCAACATAGCTAAGCAAATTGGTATGCATTGGCCATTTGATATCAAATATTGCTAAGGTAATCAGGCAATTTACATGTGGAATTAATCTTACTTCTAGTCATCAATAGATAGAAGCGGCGTTATTACATTTTTACCCTGATATTATTTCAAAATTTAAACAGATCTATTACAAATAGTCACAGTGAAAAAGAGCAAAACTAAAACAGAGCAAAAAGCCCAACATCATGTTTTTCCAGTTTCATTCTATCTTTATTCTCACATCCGAATGGACAAATGATATTGCAACCTTTTAGATTAAGTTATCTTGAACTTTAACTAAATTTAAGCTGACAATCAGCAAAACACTTTAAAATACAAAGAGTTCACACTGTTTAAGAGTTCCCAGTAGATCTCTGTCCCCATTCAGGGCCTATGTGTAAAGACTTTTAATATTTAATTATATCCTGGCAGCTTTGCTGGTAATGTGAAGGCTATCATTTCCTTTTTTTTTTTTTTTTTTGATACAGGGTCTTATTCTGTCCCCCAGACTAAAGTGCAGTGGTGCAATTATGGCTCACTGTAGCCATGACTTCTCGTGGTCAGGTGATCCTCCCACCTCAGCCTCCTGATTAGCTGGGACTACAGGCATGCCACCATGCCTGGATAATTTTTTTTCCTCTTCATTTGTATATGCCTTTAATTCTTGTGTGTAATCAATAAATAAAAGATTAAATTGTGTTTAAGTGTACTTTTTAAAGTGGCTAAATCTGCATAGAGCCCAGGACTATTGGTCAGGCAGAAGGATTTGGGGGTTGTTGAGGCCAGGAGAAGTTTTTATAAAATTCTTTGGGTCCTTCTTGACTTAATGAAGTTTACTGACAACAGGAAGAGGTAAGGGATTAAAGAGGAGTTGAACTGTGTGCCACCTCCTCTGGGTAAATAATGTTATTTCCTAGTGATATTTTTCACGGAAAAAATGATGTTGCTAAACAATTTGCTTACTTATTCTGTATTTAGCCTACTTTCATGAAGAAAGAGGCTGACATGAATCTACCTTTTTTGCATCCCTATTATAATAAGCATTCAGCTAATATTATTGAGCTTCACTAAGTACCTGGAAGTGGTTTGCTCAGGTAGTGCCAAGAATATGGTGTTAAACAAAACAGACAAAGTTTCTGCCCTTATGAAGATTACAGTTTCCTGAGATTTTAGCCTATGTTCTTGTTTATTTGCTTCTCTCCTTTTTTCTTATTTTGTGAACATTGTTGAGATTTAGAAAGTAACAGGGAACATCAATCTCACTTCATTTTTCTTCCTTACTCTTGGGAGACTGCTGCCTGCAAAAACCACATTTCATGCAGTATGTTTAAGGGGCAGAGCCCTATGTTTGGAGTAATGAGGTTGTCTAGTGCTGTCTGTAGCAAGTGGTAAATCTGTTTCATTCTGGGTTTTAGTACTAGGAAGCCCATTTTTGCTACATGCATAAGCCAAGTTCTATGATCAGGACTTTACTAATGATGAAACTAATATCTTGATCTTTCTTAATCTGTCCTTATAAAATTTTTTGGCACTATTTTACAAATAATCTATAACTTGGGCAGGGAAAATGGATGCTGTTTATTGCCCACCCCCACACAAAAAAACACCAGCTACTTGTGAATTCGTCAGCAATATTGAGAGATAGCTCTAGGTGAGCAAAATGACTTTGTCTAGCATGTTTTTAGTTTGATGTTGCTTTTTCAAATTGGGTTTTTGAACTTTGCCACAATTCATCTTGTTCCATGTGGCTGCATTTTACAGCTAAGTGTCCATTTTTAACTGTTATAACCCAGTCGGGCAGCTTTACAATTAAGCACTAGTCATATTAGATTTTTACACTGACAGTTCACTACAACTTAAGATGTTTTTTCCCAAAGCAAGAAGCTCTTTTTACCCGGGAAAAAAGATGTTATAGAGATAGAGCAGTACTCATGAGACTTTGAGCAAATGATGTATGAGTCTTACCCACTCTTATTCATAGTCTAGGACAGAAAATACAAAATAGTCTAAGAAAATGTAATGAGATTTATATTTGAAATTGCCTCTTTCATTAGAACTAAGGTGTGTTGATGCTAGTGTTTTCTTGATCTTTATAGAACTTATCAGTGGAAGAATTTAAAAAAATTGTTTCATGAATGTTACATAGTTAACAGCAATTGTACTAATGCCATTGATTCCAAAATGTATTCCAAATTCAAAAAGATAAAATAGGAAAAAACAACATAAATCTTAGAATTGGTGAAGTATATAGGTGATTTGAATGTTATTGGAAGGGCTAAAATAATTAGGTTCTCAGTTGGGTCTCTAAGAAAATTTGCAGGACGATATACTGCTAGTCCACTGAGAATGCTTCTACCTCCGATATCACACTTAAGAGTTATGCTTAGAAGTAGGAAGCTACTGTCACCACTATACTTGCTTTTCATACTTAGAAAACTAGAAAATGAACACTGAAATTCTGTTCAAGGAAGATGCACAGTTCCAAACTTTTTTGGTCAAGAAACACCAGCTAATAGTCATAGAAGATAACATCTGCCTTATGTTTATTTTTCCAGTCTCACAAGAGTTCATCTAATTGGTGGAACCTAATTTGCATCAAGAACCCTTGCTTCAAGGGAGTCTAGTAGATTGTGGTTGCAGCTTCTAACCTTTTTAATTATAAGTATAGAATGGGGATTGAGTGAGAGAATCCTCAGTATTTAGTACCTTAAGCAAAAGTGAAAGTCTTAGGAGGGGCTGAACAAGTGAGTCTTAGAGTGCAGCTTGTCACAAGTTGAACTTGAACTATCTAGGTGCACATATGGGGCACCAAGAGTGCCTCAGTAGGTCCAGGTCAGGTGCTCAGCCTTAAGAAGTGGGTGCAGCCAGGGAGGGGGGCAGATTAAAGGGAAAAGATTGCCTCATGGGTGGCGTCATCCATCTCAAGAGTATGAAAGCAGACAAGATTTTGTGAGTAATATGTTCTTTTAGCAGATCAGTAAGTTACTGATATCAACTTCCTATGACAGTCACCTAAGTTTGTTCTTAAGATGTCCCATCTTAAGTTTAAGTGAATATCATAGGAAAATAAATCCCATCAGTTCACTTTGAACTTAAAACTCAACAAGATGAAAATAAACAGTTTAAAACTTTTGCACATTTTGTAATAGAATTGTTTATTTTCATCTTGTTGAGTTTTAAGTTCACTGTTGAACATATTTGATAAACTTGATTTCATTTTTTTTGCCATTTGTAGTTGGTATTAAAAATTAGAATTTCAAGTGCTCATTGCTGGTATGTATGAAAGGCAAGATTGACTTTTGTATATTAACCTTCTATCCTGCAACCTTGCTACACTCCCTTATTAGCTCCAGGATTTTTTTTTTTTTTGGTTGATTTTTTCAGATTTTCTACATAGACAATCATGTTATTGCAAACAAAGGCAGTTTTATTTCTTCCAACCCGATCCGTATACCTTCTATTTCCTTTTATCTTTTTGCTAGCTAGGCCTTCCAGTACCATGTTGAATAGAATGTTGGGAGAAGACATCTTGTCTTGTTCCTGAACTTAGGGGAAAAGCATCCAATTTCTTACTATTAAGTATGCTGTTACAATAGGTTTTTATAGATATTATTTATCAAGTTGAGGAAGTTCTCTAATATTCCTGGAAGTTTTTATTATGAATAGGCATTAGATTTTGTCAAATGCTTTTCTGCATCAATTGGTAAGATGATTGATTTTTATTCTTTAGCCTGCTGATGTGGTGGCTTACATTGGTTGATTTTTAAATGTTGAATCAGTCTCGCATACTTAGAATAAATCTCACTTGTTTCTGGTGTATAGTTTTTTAAAAAAATACATTGTTGGATTCAATTAGCTAATATTTTATTGAGGATTTTTAATCTATGTTCATAAGATCTATTAGTCTGTAGTTCTTTCTGTGATAGCTTTATCTTGTTATGATATTAAAGTAATGCTGACCTTATAGAATGAGTTAGAAAGTGTTCCCTCTGCTTCTCATTTCTAGAAGTGAGTGTGGATAATTGTATCGTTTATTTCTTAACTGCTTAGTACAATTAACCAATAAACTAATCTGGGCAGACACTTTCTTTCTATGGAAGGTTATTAATTATTAGTTCAATTTATTTAATAGATTTGGTCAATTTAGATTATTTATTTCTCCTAGGGTGGTGGTTTGTGTCTTTCAAAGAACTAGTACATTTCATCTAAATTATCAAATTTGTGGATATTTCTTTATGACCCTTCTTAATGTCCATGGACACAGTAGTGACAATCCTTCTTCAATTTCTGATATTTGCAATTTGTGTCTTCTCTCTTTTTTTCTTGATTAGCCTAACTAGTGGTTTATTGATTTTATTGAAATTTGCAAAGAACTGGCTTTTTGATTTGTTAATTTTTTAATTGTTTTCTTGTCTTCAATTTTATTATTTCTGTTTTAATTTTTAGTATTTCTTATTTCTGTTTTAGGTGGAAATTGCTCTACCTTCTTTAGTTTTGCAAAGTGAAAACTTAGATGATTGATTTTAGATTTTTCTTCTTTTTCTAATATATACACTTAATGCATACATGTTTCACTACATTCCATAAATGTTGACAAATTTTATTTTAAATTTAATTTAGACAAAAATATTTTTAATTTCTCTTGAGTCTTATTTTTTGACTCATTATTATTTAGATGTGTCTTGCTTAATCTCCAAATATCTGGGGATTTCCCAACTATTCTGCTGTTCTTGATAATCTAGTTTAATTCCGCCGTGACCAAAGAACACACTTCTGTGGAATTTATTTCTTAAAAAATTTTAAGATGTGCTTTACAGCCAAGAATCTGTTCTGTCTTGCTGAATTTTCCATGTGAAGTTGAAAAGAATAAGTATTCTGCTGTTGCTAGGTAGAATAGTCTATAAATGTCTGTTAGATGAAGTTGACTGATAGTACTCTCCAAGCCAACTATATTTGTACTGATTTTCTGCCAGTTTGTTCTATCAATTACTGAAAGACAGATGTTAGATTCTCTAAATGTAATAGTGGACTTGTCTATTTCTCCCAGTTCGATCAGTTTTTGCCTTACATATTTCAATGTTTCATTGTTAGGTACAAGATGTCTCATTATGTTGTCCAGGTTGGTCTTGAACTCCTGGCCTCAAGTGATCCTTCTGCCTTGGCCTTCCAAAATGTTGGGATTACAGGTTTGAGCCACTATGGCCGGCCTCCAGCTTTCTTTTGAATCGTGTCAGTACGTATGTCTTTCTCTATCCCTCTACTCTTAGCCTATCTGAGTCTTTATATTTAAGGTGGGTTCCTTATAGACAACAGTTATTTGGGTCTTATTAAAAAAATCATTTTGACAATCTCCTTTAATTGGTGTATTAGACTAATCCCATTAAAAGTAACTTTGACGTAGTTGGACTAATACCCACCTTGTTTGTAACTTTTTTATTCATTGCATTTGGTCTTTGTTTCTTCCCTTTTCCACCTTGTCTGCCTTCTTTGGTTTTAATTAATGTTTTCTTTCTTTTTTTTTTTTTCTGAGATGGAGTTTCACACTTGTTGCCCAAGTTGGGGTGCAAAGGCATGATCTCGGCTCACTGCAACCTCTGACTCCTTGGTTCAAGCAATTCTCCTGCCTCAGCCTCCCGAGTAGCTGGGACTACAGGCGTGCACCACCATGCCTGGCTAATTTTTGTATTTTTAGTAGAGACAGGGTTTCACCATGTTGGCCAGGATGGTCTCCATCTCTTTATTATTATTATTAGACTTTAAGTTTTAGGGTACATGTGCACAATGTGCAGGTTTGTTACATATGTATACATGTATACATATGTATACATGTATACATATGTGCCATGTTGGTGTGCTGCACCCATTAACTTGTCATTTAGCATTAGGTATATCTCCTAATGCTATCCCTCCCCCCTCCCCCCACCCCACAACAGTCCCCAGAGTGTGATGTTCCCCTTCCTGTGTCCATGTGTTCTCATTGTTCAATTCCCACCTATGAGTGAGAACATGCGGTGTTTGGTTTTTTGTCCTTGCGATAGTTTGCTGAGAATGATGATTTCCAGTTTCATCCATGTCCCTACAAAGGACGTGAACTCATCATTTTTTATGGCTGCATGGTATTCCATGGTGTATATGTGCCACATTTTCTTAATCCAGTCTATCGTTGTTGGACATTTGGATTGGTTCCAAGTCTTTGCTATTGTGAATAGTGCTGCAATAAACATACGTGTGCATGTGTCTTTATAGCAGCATGATTTATAGTCCTTTGGGTATTTACCCAGTAATGGGATGGCTGGGTCAAATGGTATTTCTAGTTCTAGATCCCTGAGGAATCGCCACACTGACTTCCACAAGGGTTGAACTAGTTTACAGTCCTACCAACTTGACCTCGTGATCTGCCCACCTTGACCTCCCAAAGTGCTGGGATTACAGGCGTGAGCCACCGCTCCCAGCCAATATGCTTTCTCTTTATCTCTTCTCTTAACATGTCAGTTATATTACTTTAAAAAATGCTTTTAGCGGTAGCACTGGAGTTTCCAGTATACATTTTTAACTAATTTAACTCTACCTTTAAATAACATTATTCTATATCACATGTACCACAAGTATCTTAGAATATTCCCAATTCCTGCTTCCTGTCTCATGACATTGCTGTCTTTCACTTCACTTATTCATACGCTGTACTCACCCAATATGCTGTCTGTCTTATCCATTAAGTAGTTACCTTTTAGATCAATTAAGAATAAAAAACTAAAAACTTTTATTTTACTTTCATTTATTCTTTCTCTAATGTTCTTGCTTTATGCAGACCCAAGTCTCTGATCCATGTCATTTTTCACTTTTTTTCTATGACACACTTTTAAAATAAAACATTTATTGTCATTCAAATCTGCTATTAGGGAGTTCCCTCAGTTTTTCCTTCTCTGTGAAAGTCTTTATTTCTCCCTTGCTTTTGAAGGATAATTTGACTGGATATAGAATTCTAGATTATGTTCCTTTCAACACATTGAGTATTACAATCTGCTCTCATCTTGCTTGTGTATTTTTTTCTGATGAGAAGTTTACTATAATTCTTATCTGTATTCTTCTAAAGATAGGTAAGGTGATTTTTTTCTGATTTCTTTCAAGATTTTTTCTTTGTCTTTGGTTTCCTGCAGTTTGAATATGAAATGTCTAGGTGTGGATTTTTTGATTCTTATCTTTCTTGGTCTTCTCTGAGTTTCCTGGATCTGTGGTATGTTGTCTGTGAATAATTTTGGAAAACTCTCAGCCATTATTACTTGCAATATTTTTTTGCTCTATTCTGTCTTTCTTCTCGTGGTATTCTATTTACACCTATGTTACAACTTTTGAAATTATCTCACAGCTCTTGGTTGCTTTGTTCTGGGTTTTAATTTTTTCATTCTTTTCTCTCTTTGTACTTCAGCTTGGGAAGTTTTAATTGATTTATCTTTAAGCTCACTGATTATTTCCCTGGCCCTGTCTCATGTCCTGATGAACCTCTCAAAGATATTCTTCAGTGTTTTTGATTTCTAGTATTTCCTTTTGAATCTTTCTAGGGTGTCCATCTCTATGCTTATACTACTCATTTGTTCTTGTATGTAGTCTATTTTTGCCATCAGAACCCTTCACATATTAATCGTAGTTATTTTAAATTCCCTTCCTGATCATTAGAACATCTGTGTTATATCTGAATCTGGTGCTGCTGGTTGCTTTCTGTTTAGACTGTGTTTTTCCTGCCTTTTAGCATGACTTGGAATTTTTTTGTTGAAAGCCAGATATGATATCTTGAATAATACAAACTGAGGTTAAAAAGGCTGTTGGTGTGAGGTTCTGTGTTAATCTGACTAAAAGTGGCAGTGTGTTTAGTTTTTGCTGTAGTTATAGGTATAATATTATAGGTGTTAGAGGCTTCAGATTCCTCTAATGTCCTTGTATTTGTCTTCCCTGTTAATGTTGATTAATATTTTGATTAAATATTAATAATGCATCTCTTGTCTGTGAATCTCTGGATTCACCTGTCTTTCCAGATTTGAGGGTGATGATTTTCCCTGTGACCTCAGTTCTCTTATTGGTCCAAAAAAAGTCTTTGACTTTCAGTTTATTTAGCTTTTTCTTGTTGTAAAGATGGGTGTGATGACTTCCAAGCTCCTTACATGTTGGAGGTAAAACTGGAAGTCCTTCTGGTAGGCTTTTGTGGGAAATGTTACTGGACATAATATGGATGAGAAATAGAATAAGGAGAAAATTTTCGGTCTTGGAGTGAGTGGCCTGAGAATTATGTTAATTGAGGAGTTGCTCAGGAGCATTTGAGTGCATTTTCAGGGCAAAATTAACACTGCCTATCAAGGGGCTCAGGTGGATTCCCACAAGAGAAGAAGTTTGCATGGTGCAGTAGCCTCATGAAGGTGGGAGGAGGACCATTGGTAGAAACTGCTGATCTCTTCCTCTAAAGGAAATAACCACACCTTACATTGATTGTCATCTGAATCATTAAGCTGAAATGGCTAAGAGATAAAAAACTGGGGAAATGTCAGGAGAGAACACTTCTTCCCCATGGCTGCTTTATTTCAGGCAATTCCATTAGCTTTAAATTCTGGGTTTATCTCTGTCCTCTCACTCTTCTCCAGAAACCGAAGTGTGACTTACCATTGATGAGTTTGGGAGAGAAACCAGGAATATATAGTTCAGCCCCTTCGCTCTTTGGAGCTGGCTACCTGTAGAAAGCACCCGTTCTGATCTGCCCCTGCAAGCTGTTTAAAGAGTCAGGCCCCACCTGGGCAAGACTGTAGTGTTCCATGCTGCTTATACTCAGGTGAGCCTGCCTATTTCTTGTTTTGTAATTCAAAACTCTATTGTTACCCTGTACCTAAGCTGTGTCATGCAAACTATGCTTTATCAGCAATAAAAGAAATATTATGATTTTTATCTGTTTGACTATTTTTAAAATTTCTGAATACGTTTGTTGCAGTCTCACCAATGCACCACAACGTAGTAGTCTCTCATGAGGTATCACCCAGAGTTCTTTGTCTCATGACCAAGAAAATTAAGGTGCATAGACAGAAAGGATGAGGTTGGAGTAAAAGTTTAATAAGCGAAAGAAGAAAGCTCTCCATCGTGGAGGGGTGGCCCAAAAGAGGGTTGCCATTTTATAGTCAAATACTAAGTCTCTTATAAAGAGGCTACTAGGGCAAGATATTTCATTTATATAAGGCTGTAAAAACTGGTTGGGGGTAGGTGTTTCATTTGCATGAAGTGTGAATTCCTGACAGCTCCTCCCTGTCCTTTTAGTGCACATGTGAACGCTTAGCCTAAGTTACCCCATGTTGTTTAATTTACCTTAGTGAATGTATGTAAGGGGGCAGAATTCCCCATTGCTGGGTTCTGTGTTACTCCTCTTATACATGTTTCAAGCAACTCCCCCTCCCCCTTCCCCTGTGCAAACTCCCTTATCTGAGTATGTCCAAAAAAGGAAACAAATGTGCTCACTGAAGCCCACTGTGTATATGTGACCCTTGCTAGTTACACAGAAGGCATCTTTATGGTGGACCTTGCCTCCTTATCTATGCTTGAAGTCTGATCTTTCAGGCTGTTCTTTTGTTAGTGAAAAAGGAATTCTACCGAGGACTTGTCCTAGCTATCTGCCTAACTGGTTCCTTTCTTTTCCCTCACTTTTAGATTGAACAGAAGATTTGAAAAGGTAGTATACAGTATTCTGGAATACTGCTGACACAGATTCCCCTGTTCTTAATATCTTACATTACCATGGTAATTTTGTCACAACTAAGAAACAAACATTGATATATAATTATTAACTAAATTCCAGGCTTTATTCAGATTTCACTATTTTTTCCCCTAATGCTTGTTTTCTGTTCCAGGATCAATTTAGTCATCGATTGGTCTAGAACAGTTTTGTTTCTTGTTCTTTATTATTTACTGTTTTCTTTTTTTTTTTAGATGGAGTCCCACTCTGTCATCCAGGCTGGATAGAGTGCAGTGGCACAATCTTGGCTTACTGCAAGCTCTGCCTCTGGGGATCAAGTGATTCTGCTGCCTCAGCCTCCTGGGTAGCTGGGATTACAGCCATACACCACCATACCTGGCTTATTTTTGTATTTTTAGTAGAGACAGCATTTCGCCACGTTGGCCAGGCTGGTCTTGACCTCCTGACTTCAGGTGATCCGCCCATCTTGGCCTCCTAAAGTGCTAGGATTACAGGCATGAGCCACCATGCCTGGCCTATTTACAGTTTTGAGATGGCCAGGTATTTTGTAAAATGTTCAGTCTGGTTTTGTTTAATGTTTTTCTCACAGTTAGACAGATTCTGAATTTTGGGGAAGAATACCACAGAAGTGATATGCCATTCTCATCACATCATTTCATGGTACATGCTATCTACAGGAGTAATGACTGATGATATAAATTTTGAATCCCTGGCCAAGACAGTGTTTTCTAGATTTAGCCACTGTAAAGTTACTCTCTTTACCTCTCTTTTCTATACTCTCAGTCACTGATTACAGCTCACACTCAAAAGAGGATAATGCTTAAATATTTTTGGTCTTATTTTGCAGTTAGTTTATGAATCAGGCAAATCAGAGAGTTGATATTTATCAAACCACATGAAAGAAATTCCAACATGAGCAAATACCCACATACTAGTCACCAGCAGGATGAGTCAGGAGAGCAGATCCATTAAAACAGAAGTGACATCTGCGGTCAGATGAAGGGGAGTGAACTTCAGGGACAGGGGCTTCTCTGAGAGGAGCAACTGGCAATGAATGGCAAGTTGTACAACATATAGTGTAGCAGCTAGAACCAAGAGGAGAGGCAGTATGTTCCCACTGGAGGATTTTAATACACTGATCATCAGTTAAGGAATACATTTGCCCAAACTCACACCAGGTAATCAGTTCCTCAATGAGTTGCATAATTGAAAAAGAAAATCAATTTTTCTGTTTTGCTTTATATGAAAACTCAATGTTCTTTTGCTTCTTTTCCCACATGCATGTGTGACTGATGGCCAGGAAAAACCAAATGAATTAAGTTTTAAGGGCAACCTCAGCCCCTGGGTCATCTTTGCTAAAGAAAGACAAGTGGGTGGGTGAAAAGACAAATTAAAAACCTTCTACTGTCAACAAAGTTATCTTACTTTAGATCAAATACCAAGGGAACCAATTGAATTTTCTGCTGTTTTCATTTGAAGCTCTTTTACTTTGTTGGTTATTGCTACTATAAAATTGATGTTATTTGTAGCTTCTTAAATCCATAAAAAATATTGGAGGCTTAAAGGTGGGCCACTGGCTTGCTAGTAGTATATTTCTTATCCTGTTCCATTTTTCCAAATAAAATAACAATTTTTTATACTTCCTTTCTAACCATGACATTATTTTTTGAAATTTATATTTGTCAAAATATATATCTGAGAAGAAAGAGCTTCATAGACAAGAGGGAGAAATCACTAATATATTTCAAGTTAATAAGTGAATAATTAAGGTACTCAACCTGGAAATATTTAAATTTTCTGGACCTGCAATATTTTCCCAGAATTTCCTATTTTATTTGTAATGTCTTTGGAGAAAGTTATATATAGTTATGTGTTGTGTATGACTTTCCTTATGCTTATTTTAATATTTTTGATTATATAAGCAGTTCGTGCCCAGTGTGCAAAAATTAAAAAAACACAGAATAGTAAAATGAAGACTATCTTGGAACTATTTTTTCAATAAATATTTATGAAGCATCTATTATGAGAACTGTTTTCAGTGCTAGGGACATAGCAATAAACAAGACAGAAAAATCCTTGCCCTCGTGAAACTTTCATTCCAGTGAGAGGAGATAGACCAAAAGAAATGCATATTTTGTGAAAGAACAACAACAACAACAACAACAACAACAAACAATTTCTCAGGACCATCAAACTTGTTATGCCAAAAGGAAAGTTAAGCCTGGAGAATGAGTCTTACAACACTGCCATCCTTTTCCCAAATGGACATCTGTTACTTCCTAACCTTATGTCAAAGCATTACACATTGGTCAGACCTCCACAGAAGGGTAGAAAGCCTTATACATCTCAGATGACTGCCCTCACAAACTGTTCATAAGTAAATCCTTTTCTGGCCTCAAAACCTTTCAAAATATATATTCTCCTCTAAAACAAGGAAATGTCAATTTTATCTTTAGCTTTGCCATTGAAGTCTAGCTCCTAAAACGAAAGTCTTTTAGATTTCACACTGATAATGTATATTACAAGCTTATCTTCCCAGGTGCAGAACAAAGACAAGATGAGATAAATGGTTCCTTCATCTGCCTTGAGACATCTGCATAATTTACTCTTCTTTTACTCCCATTTTCTTGGAATGTTTACCTTACTTCATGTAAAAGGTAGATTTGCTGGGTACTAATTAAAGTCTCACAAAAATGTAGCCATTTGCCTCACTGCTTAACCCTCTCTTCTCACAAGCCTTCTCCTCCTTAAAGAAATGTTTAAATATGGAGCCTCCTGAAAACCTCTTCAGAGAGCACAGGCCACAGAAGCTCTGTCTCAATACACCTTGACTGATTCAGATTCTTGCCTTAGTTCTTCACTGTGGTTTAACATTTATAAAGGATGTAATAAGTACTATGGAAAAAGTAAAGACAGGAAGAAAACAGGAGTATATGTGGGAAAGTTTATCATTTTAAAATGGGGGTTAGGGGAAGCCTCACTTAGAAATTGAGGAAAGACCTGAAGGAGTTGAGGGAGTGAGTCAAGGTTAAACCTGGGGCAAGAATATTCCTGCTAGAGTAAACAGCAAGTACAGAGGCCCTGGGCTTTTACTTGAAGTGAGTTGGGAAGCATTAAAGGGTTTAAGCAGAGGAGAGATTTAGTGAGCTCAGTTTTTAAAACATCAATTTAACTGCTCTGTGAGAACAGACTTAGCAGGACAAAGATGAAGGCAGGTAGACCAGTTATATAGCTGTTGACTAAGGTTGTAGCTTGGTGGTAAGTGCTCAGGTATCACATGTTTGTTGATGATGGAGCTGACAAGGAATCCAGAGCATCTGATATGGAGTGTAAGGTTG
Source organism: Homo sapiens (assembly GCF_000001405.40). Classification (NCBI taxonomy): domain Eukaryota; kingdom Metazoa; phylum Chordata; class Mammalia; order Primates; family Hominidae; genus Homo; species Homo sapiens. Next base: position 33,183,508 of record NC_000012.12, read on the forward strand.
AGTGAGAAGTGTTATGGCCACTGTTTGAATTGGTTCATATTAACCCTCCTCTGCCTCCACCTACTTATACACAGAAAACTTTCAAGTCCCTAAGGCAAGGGAAAATGGAAAAAAACAGAAGAGTTATATGATCAGTAGTGGTGAAGGCTCATAATCACCAGTAAGGTCTATTAATTTTGCTAAGATTTACACCTACCACGGGCAGCAGCAGAGGAGCAAATGCAGACCTATGTGGAGGAGCGTGTGGTTGGCAAGCCTTTCCAAGCCCTGCTCATTGCCATTTCTCTAAGAGCAGCAGAGTGATTTTATACTGTTTTAAAATGGGCAGAACAAGGAGCTTGAAAAATATCTCATTCTCTCTGAACTTTCTCTATTCAGCATCTTTGTTTAAAGAGAAATATAGATAGATATTTCACCAAACAATTGAGAAAGAAGAAAAGAAAGTTTGCACAGAAAATGTAGAGAAAAACCTCAGCTCTGACTCAACTCTTTGATGGATTGATATCAGAAATAGTATTTTATTTATATTTCTTACATATTTTACACATATTGGAAAAAAGATAATGAAGTAGCAATAAAATTTACTTAAGGAAAGAGTCTCATCTACTACTTTATGATCTTGCATCTCACCCTTGTCCTGTGCTGCTTTATTTTCACTTTCTTCTCTCTCTCTGGGTTTTCTGGTCTTGTTTCAAGGATGCTATTAAGTTTGCCAAATAGTTTTCTAAAGTATTCGATGTACATTTCTTCTTTTGGGTCTCTTCCCTGTGTCTGAATCACTTGGTATGTTTTTGTTTTACTCATTCTCAAATAAAAACAAATCTATTGAGCCTGAGAATTAGCCAACCAAGAGGATTTTTGGAGACAGAGTGCCAAGGATTTGCCTTGAGTCCCCTTCTGTTTACTTGGATGAATTAATTCCCTTCTGATTCTACAGCTGGAAGGGAGATAAATGCGCTATCTCCTAGCTCAGGATCCAATAGTCTTTCGTTTGTTTTAGATTTACTGGGCAAAAATAAGATAACATTCTATCTCTGCTATCTGGACAGATGAGATGCACAGAACGCCACAATTTCCAGTTTTCATTGCTACCAGATGGTTTCCATCTTTGCCTCCATGTACCATCTTTATTTGTGAGGACTACACATTCCAGCTTGTAATGTACCACATACTGTCATTTTTTTCCAGGTATTACCATCTCCCAATGCATGTGGAAAGGTATTACCATCTCCCAGTGCAAGGTCCTGGACCTTGACTATCTTCAAATGAATCTCCATGAAATAAAGGCACAGATATTTTTCTTTTAGATGTTGGATGCTTTCCAAAGCTGTATGGCAGGTGTTGTTTTGCTGCTGGTGCTGACACTACTACAAATTTGAGCACCTATTTTTGCACATGCTTTTGACATAGCTACCACTTAAAAACTGAGGAAAAATGCCCTTCTAAGTGTGGGTAACTTTGATGATTGTATCAATAAAATGATACAGGGGCCAACTTGGTGAGAAGCCTACAGTGGCCCATCTGGCTCTGTAGTTCTTCTTGACATCACCCAGCTCCAAATTGGAGACCCTTGTAATATACAATTGTTAGAAGTGTATGTTAGACTATATGTGCAATTCACCAATCTATTTTTCTTTTTTATTTATTTTATTTTATTTTTTAATTATACTTTAAGTTCTGGGATACATGTGCAGAACGTGCAGGTTTGTTACATAGGTATATGCTTGTCATGGTATACGCTTGTCTTTCGAGAAGTGTCTGTCCATATCCTTTGCCCACTTTTTGATGGGTTTGTTTTTTTCTTGTAAATTTGTTTAAGTTCCTTGTAGATTCTCAATATTAGCACTTTCTATTTTTGTAACTAGTGACAGATTTGGCAGGGGCTGGGTCAGGACTTCAGATGGTTTTCATCCTTCATTGTCTTTTTCCCTAAAATCTATCAATGCAAGAATGCTGAAATTTGAACAGCAGAAGCTCATGGTCCTGAGACTCATACTCTAAATGTTAGTGAAAGGCAGGAAGTCTACTTTGTCTAACCTAGCCCCTGTTTGGCAGCCACCTCACATTAACTTCTGTCTAGTAGTTTTTTTCCTTCTTTCTTTTTCTTTTTCTTTTTTTTTTTTCTGCCAACTTTGCAATCCCTGAATCCTAATCAGTTACCTCGTTTAGGGTGTTGCTATGAGTCTTCATCTTTTCTGGTGTCTTCCTAGTCATCCAAAGCAAAATGCTCCCCCGTGGTGACTTTCATTGCTCTATAAGGGAATTAGGGCATATAATGATCATATATGATGATTATACAATGATCAGGTTTTTACTGTACCCTTTCAGATTTACTGTACCCTGGTTATGTTGGAGAACTTTCACTTCTGCCCAAGGGAATACTCTCTATTTCTAGCTGTCTTCTTCAGATTAGAACTATTCTGCCTATAGACAGTTGAATCTGATACTGCACTTTCATTTGCCTCTGGCAGAAATCAAGTACCTTTTTACTAAGTTCTCCTTTCAGGAACACTTCTCTTTTGTGTGAAAATATCTCCCACCATGACTCTTTTCTGTTCCCGGTTTTTTCTGCTAGATTGATTTCACATCAGTTAGTATACTCTTTTCTGTCATATGTCAAGACTCTCTAAGTTGGTTGAAATCACTACTCTTTTGTATCCCTAGTTTTTTAAAGTTAATGATTCTCAAAGTGTGGTCCTTGGACCAGCAGAATCAGTACCACTTGTCAGTCTGTAAGACATGCAAATTCTTAGACCCCACCCCAAGCCTACTGAATAAGAAATTCTGAAGGTGGGGTCAGGCAATCTGTTTTAACAAGTCTTTCAGGTGTTTCTGATGCATGCTTTAAAAAACTTTGTAAATGCTCATTGTCCCAGGAATGTTAGCTCTGTTGGAGCTATTAATAGAAAAAGGAAGAAGGGTAGCAGAAGGAATAAACATAAAACATATATGGTCTCAGGTTGGCTGGGGGCTGGGTGCAGTGTTTCAGGCCTGTAATCCTGCAGTCTAGGAGGATTTCTTGAAGCCAGGTGTTGAAGACTATCCTGGGTAACATAGTGAGATTCTGTTTCTAAAAAAAAAAAGCCTTAGAGTTTCCGATATGCTAGTCTTCTTTAAGAACTACTACTCCGTTATACACCATGGAATACTATGCAGCCATAAAAAAGGACAAAATCATGTCCTTTGTAGCAACATGAATGCAGCTGGAGGCCATTAACCTAAGCAAACTAACACAGAAACAGGAAACCAAGCATTGCATGTTTTCACTTAAAAGTGGGAGCTAAACATTGGGTATACATGGACATAAAGATGATAACAATAGACACTGGGGACTCCTAGAGTGGGAAGGGATGGTGGGGTGCAAGGGCTGAAAAACTGCCTGTTGGATACTATGCTCACTTTCTGGATGATGAGTTAAATCTTACTCCAAACCTCAGCATCACACAATGCACCTTTGTAAGAAACCTGCACACATACCCTGGAATCTAAAATAAAAGTTGAAAAAAAAAAAGTACTACTACTCCAAACTGCTTCCCTTTTATCAGCTTTAAAACTAGCCCATGTCACCAACTGTCCTTGTTCTTAGTAACCATCTGTCAAATTGTTGTGTCATTTGCATTTCCAAAATGTGTTTTTTACTGGATAGGTTTTCATCTACCAGGGAAATAGCAATTATGATATACCTTACCATGAAATTTGGTGAGAAAAAATATTTTTTCACATAGTTTTCACTCCTCTGTAAAATGTGGGGACATAGGACATTAGAGGCAACACAAACAAAATTATATCTGGTTAACATCTCCTTTTGATCATTACATAGCCTAAAGATACAGAATTAGTGAGAATTAACTTTACCTGGTGGTGGTTAGCTATTCTTTGATACTTACAATATTTATGCCTGCTTTTGCAATGAAGACAAGCTAAATTGTCTTAGATCTCTTAATCTTCATAAAGACCTTTAGTGAATAAGATAAGCCTTTCAAATTAGAAGTCTAAAAACCATTCTTAATTAGAAATTTTAATTCTAATCACATGAACCTTTTTTTTTTTTTTGGCTAGTGAAGAACAACCTGTTCAGCCAGTTGGTTTTATGTTGATTGCACAATATATGCAATTATAACCCAGCAACACACACAGAAAAGCCAGAAAAATTGGACCAATGGGTAAAAAAAGATAGCCATCAGCCCAAGCTGAGTGCTCTGCATGCATGCCTTATATCTGTTTTCCACCTTCCCTGTTTTCTTTTTCTGACTGATTTTCTACCACCTGCAACATAATATCTTGAAAACAGGAAAATAAAACCCTTGCTTCCAAATATACTGCTTTTTATGTAATAGCAAAAAATATATGAAAAATGTTAAGTTGACAGTGCTTTAACAAAATGTTCTGCAAAACGATAGAAAGGCTTATAGGAATTTTCTATGTGACCTGTATCTATAACTACCAGGGTGATTGTTGGATAACCTATGGCCTATCTCATAAAAAAGGTTCATTCTATGAGGGTTATATTTCATCTAATGCATTATCCGTCTATTGAAAAAAGTTTTATTTGCTAAAGGATGTACTACAAGCTAAAGGGAAATGTCTTGAAATTCAGACCTCAATGAAAGAATAAAGAACTAGACGTTAAGCAGGTGGATAAATATAAAAGAATATGTGTTCTTATAATGTACTTGAAAAACAATTGCCTATTTAAAGAAAAATAATAATACCATAAATAATGTTTGTAATACATATAGAAGTAAAGGTTATAACAATAATTACACAAAAATTGAGTATATGGGTAAATGAAAGTATACTCTTGTAATGAGTAACATTATGAAATTTGTGAAGTGAGGGGTGTAAAGTGTTATCGTAGTCCGATTAATGGTCTCCCAATGTTGCCTACATCCTAATCCATGAACCCCATGAATATGTTATCCTACAAGGGACTTCAAAGTTGTGATTAAGTTAAGAATTTTGAGATAGGGAAATTATTTTAGATTTTTTGGGTGGGCCCAGTGAAATCTCAAGGGTTCTTAGATGGGAGGAAAGAGGATTAGTAGCAGAGAGAAGACGTACAGATGAAAGCAGAAATCAGAGAGAAGAGAAGATATTATATTGCTGGATTTTAAGATGGAGGAGGGGGATACAAGACTAAAAAATGTAGTTGACCTTTAAAAGTTGGAAAACACACAAAAAAAGGATTCTTTTCTACAACTTCTAAATGGAATGCAGGCCTGTTAACACTGATTTTAGCTCAGTGTAACTAATTTTATGCTTCCAGAAGTATAAGATATTAAATTTGTGTTGCTTTAGGCCTCAAAGTTTGTGGCATTTTTAAATTTAATTTTTAAAAGGTTTAAATTTGTTTATATATTTTTTGTGGTAATTTGTTATAGCAGCAATAGGAAATTAATTCAAGTTTGAACTCAGAAGCATCAGTATTTCCAAGCCTCTCTAACTTTGTGAAACTCAAACTTTAAACCCTGTTTCTTGGACAGATATAATGTGAGAAAGGGGAAAGGTGAATTAGGAAATGTGAAATATCAGATGCAAAATGGATGTATGAAGAGAAAATATTGATTCTAGCGTCTGACAGAATAAGAATGCAAAATGTTAACTCTAAAATAAATAGATAATGATAGATAACTAAGAATTAAATGAGGAAATAAAATGTGGCACTAAAATATATTTAGTTCATCAAAAATAAAGTGAGAAAGCAAAAGAGAAATAATACCAGCAAAAAAATCAAGAGGAAGTGATGAGTTTGTAGACTTAAACTTTACCATATTAATAATTACACTAAATGTAAATGGACCAAATGACAGAGCATAAAAATTCATAAAGCAAAAACTAAATTAATTAAATAAATTTAGAATTACAACAGGATCTTTTAATAATCCTTTTGTTGTAATTGGTAGATGATATAGACAAAAATTTAGTAAGTATATTTATAAAGCACCTTGATTTAATTGATATTTATAGAGCATTACATGTGATTTAAAATATATATTCTTTTAAAGTACATGTGGGGCATATAAACTAAAGAATTGTGCAAAAATTCTTAATAAAAAGTCTTCATGGCAGAATACTGAAATCAAACAGTACATATTCACTGATCATAAGAGAACTAAACTAGAAATCAACAAAACAGGATATCTGGATAATTCCACAACACATGGTATTTAGGTCTCATATTTCCAAATAAGCTGCAGGGTAAAATATAATCATGAAGAAAATGAAAGTATTTTAAACTAAATTAAGACAGAGCATATCTAATTTGTAGAATGTGGCTATAGCAGTACTTACAGGAAAATATACAGTTTGAAGTTTTTATGTAAGGAAAAAGGTCGAAAACAATATAGAATAAGACAAGAAAAATTAAAACAGTAGAAAATAATGAAATAGAAGATAGACAATTGAGAATATATATTTTAAAAAATTTGTTCTTTGAAAAAATAAAATTGCTAAACGTATAGTTAGGTTAATCAAGAAAAATAGAGTGAAAAAATAGATTACAATATTAGGAACGAAAGTGGACTTACTACCTCAGATCCTACAGATGTTAAAAAGATAACAAGGGTACATTATGAAAAGCTGCATGCCAATAAATTTGACATCTCTGATAAAATGGGGAAGTTTTTTGAAAGACATATATTATCAGAACTGACACACAAGGAAACAGAAAATCTGAATATCTTTATATGTTAAAGAAATTTAATTTGTAATTACATTTCCATGAAGAAAACCAATTCCAGGTCCAGATAGTTATCCTATCAATCATTTAAAAAGAAAAAAAAATATACACAAAAACTCAGGAAGTAGAGGAAGACGGAACATTTTCCCACTCATTTTTTAAAAGTCCAGCATATCCCCAATATGAATGTCTTATGAAGAATTTACAAGAAAACGTAACTACCTACTCATGTCCGTTATCAATATACACACAAGTATCCTTAGAAAAATATTTTTATTTTTATTGTTTTCCTTTTTATTTGTATAAAATTATAAGGTACATGTGCAACTTTGTTATGTACATAGATTGCATAGTGGTCAGGTCGGGGCTTTTAGAATACTTATCAGCTGAATAACATATATTGTACCCATTAACCAATTTCTCATCCTCCTCTCCCCTCCCACACACTTATTCTTTCATGTCTCTGTTATCTATCACTCCACTCTCTATATTCATATGAACACATTTTGTAGCACCCACTTATAAGTAAGTACATGTGATATTTCTCCATATGCCTGGCTTGTTTCACTGAAGATAATGTTCCATTGCTGCAAAAGACATGATTTTTTTTATGGCTGAACAGTATTCCATTATTTATATATAGATCACATTTTCTTTATCCAGTCCTCCATTGATGGACACTTAGGTTGATTCTATATTTTGATATTGTGAATAGTGCTATGATAAACATGCAAGTGCAGGTATCTTTTTGATATATTGATTTCTTTTCCTTTGGCTATATACCCAGTAGTGGGATTGCTCAATTGAATTCTATTTTTAGTTATTTGAAAAATCTCCATACTGTTTTTTAGAGACTCTGTAATAATTTACATTCCCACCAACAGTGTATAAAGCATTCTCTTATCTCCACATCCTCACCAATATCTGTTATTTTTTCTTTTTTTTAATAATAGCCATTCTGACTGGAGTAAGATAATATCTTATTGTAATTTTTATTTGCATTTCTCTGATGATTAGCATTTCTTCCATATATCTTTTGGCTATTTGTATATCTTCTTCTGAAAAAAATGTTTATTTGTGTCCATTGCCCACTTTTTAGTGGAATTATTTGTTATTTTTGTTGTTGTTGACGAGTTTGAATTTCTTATATATTCTGGATATTAGTCCCCTATTGGATGAATAGTTTGCAAATATGTTCTCACTTAATATGTTGTCTCTTCACTCTGCTATTTCTTTTGTTGACAAAGATTTTTAGTTTAATTAAGTCCCTGAATATGGCTTGGATGTGTGACCCTTCCTAATTTCATGGTGAAATCCTCGGTGTTGGAGCTGGGGCTTGGTTGGAGGTGTTTGGGTCATGGGGGTGGTTCCCTCATGAATGGCTTGGTGCTGTCCTTGTGATAATGAATGAGTTCTTGCTCTGAGTTCACATGAGATTTAGTTGTTATAGAGTGTGACACGTCCCCCACTCTCTTGCTCCTGCTTTTGCCATGTAATATACTTGCTCCCCTGTTGCCTTCTGCCATGATCGTAAGCTTCCTGAGGCCCTTACCAGAAGCAGATGCTGGCATCATGCTTTATGTATAGCCTACAGAATTGTGAGCCAATTAATGCTGTTTTCTTTGTAAATTATCCACTTTCAGACATTTCTTTCTTTCTTCTTTTTTTTTTTTTTTTGAGATGGAGTCTCTCTGTCACCAGGCTGGAATGCAGCAGCATGATCTCAGCTCACTGCAACCTCCGACTCCCTGGGTCAAGTGATTCTCCTGCCTCAGCCTCCCGAGTAGCTGGGATTACAGGCGCCCGCCACCACGACCAGCTAATTTTTGTATTTTTAGTAGAGACGGCGTTTCACCATTTTGGTCAATATGGTCTCAATCTCCTGACCTTGTGATCTGCCCGCCTCTGGCTCCCAAAGTGCTGGGATTACAGGTGTGAGCCACCAGGCCAGGCCTTTTTTTTTTTTTTGAGACAGAGTCTTGCTCTGTTGCCAAGCTGGAGTGCAGTGGTGCTATCTTGGCTCACTGAAACCTCCGCCTCCTGGCTTCAAGCTATTCTCCTGCCTCAGTCCCCCAGGTAGCTGGGGCTACAGGTACACACCACCACACCCAACTAATTTTTGTATTTTTTTTTAGTAGAGACGGGGTTTCACCATGTTGGCTGGGATGGTCTCATCTCTTGGCCTTGTTATCCGCCCACTTCGGCCTCCCAAAGTGCTGGGATTACAGGTGTGAGTCACTGCTCGTGGCCCAGACATTTCTTTATAGTG